>NC_000021.9:44237649-44391545 GCF_000001405.40 Homo sapiens | reverse complement strand
AGTCCCCCAGCAGCTCCCGCAGCACCTGGGCCACGTGGTGCATCTGCAGGCGGGGCGCCGCGGGCGCGCAAGCCGGGCGCTCGGGATCCTCCACCAGCACCTTCTGCAGCTTGCTGTGGAACAGGCAGGAGGGGTCCAGGTTCTCGTACAGGTAGAGCAAGGTGTCCCAGGTGACAAACTCCTTCAGCTGCACCCCGTTCTCCAGGAAGAGCTTCACAAACTCAGGCTTGTTGGAGATGAGTGCAGCTGTCATCGTGGGGTGCAGATCTGAAGGCTGAGAGCAAGCATTGTGCAGTGACGGTTGCATTTGGTCATCACCCCATGTCATCCTGATCTCAAAGACCCTGGAGATGGGGGCTGCTGTTGTCCCCAACCTGGGGAGGATGAAAGCTGCCCAGGTCACCCACCCTCAAGGGAAGGGCTGGGATCCAGACAATGCGAACTTTGCCTGCCCTTGCTTCAGTGGTGCAATGCATGTGGGCCCAGTAGGCCCCTCCACGGGGTGCTCTGGAAGACTTACCTTCCACTGCCACTCATCCATGAAGATCTCACTGCGGGCAATGTCCACGCGATTCCATGCCACTGCCAGTTTCAGCTGGTGGTCCCAGTTCTCGTGGCCAAAGTGGTCTTGGCTCCGTGAGGCTGCAGATGAACAGGTGCATATTGGGCCTCGATCTGGAGCTCAAAGCCATTTCCCTCCAGGGAAATGATGTCAGAGTCAGGGATGTGTCATGAGCCCTTGCCTCTCAACAATTCAAAGTGACAGGCGCAGCACCCAGTGACCTCCTCCCATACACACAGCCTTGCAAAAGCATGTTCCATTTCGGAGTCAGAATCAGTGAATCTTGGGGCTTTGGTCATCACGTCCACTCACTCCTGTTTCCCCTGCCCTCCTCCTGGCCATGCCCTGGCCCCTAAGCGACAGGTGGGCAGTAAGCAAGAAAAGGGCCTCACTGTTTTAAGAAGACATAGGTCTCTGGAGGGCAGGCATCTTACACTAACATCCAAAACTCAGGACTCAGAAGCCATCACATTTCCTTTCCTGCCTCAACTGCCTGTAAATGTTCAACAGTAACAACCACCTCACTGGTTCTCAGGACAAGTTATTTTGCTCAAGTAGTTTCTGTGTTCCCTTTCTGGTTTAACTTTTTAAAACATGGGTTGTTATTTGGGGAAAAAGAAAAAAGAACTTTGACCCTTACCTCACACCATACACAAGAATCAACATGGAGCGGTTCTTAGGCCCAAACATAAAGGCTATGTCTACAAAACTGCCGTCAGAAAACAGAAGAAAATATCTGCAACCTTGGGATGGGCAGAGATCTCTTAGCTATGACACAAAGAACATGAACCATAAAGAAAAATTGATTAAATTGGCTGGGCGAGGTGGCTCACACCTGTAATCCCGCATTTTGGGAGGCCAAGGCGGGTGGATCATGAGGTCAGGAGATCGAGACCATCCTGGCTAACACGGCGAAACCCTGTCTTTACTAAAAATACAAAAAATTAGCCAGGCGTGGTGGTGGACACCTGTAGTCCCAGCTACTTGGGAGGCTGAAGCTGGAGAATGGTGTGAACCCAGGAGGCGGAACTTGCAATGATCCGAGATCGCGCCACTGCACTCCAGCCTGGGCAACAGAGCGAGACTCCATCTCAAAAAAAAAAAAAAAAATTTTAAGCCTCCTGCTCTTCAAAGACATCTTGAAGAAAATATGAAAGGAAACTACACACCATGAGAAAATAATATCTGACGAACGATTTGTATCCGAATATATAAATAACTCTTACAAATCGAAAACTGGAAGACAAACAATCAAATAAAAATGGACAAGAGATCTGAAAGACATTTCAGAAGGAAGACAGGCAAATGGCCAAAAAGTCCTTAAAATGATGCTCCACATCAGTAGTCCTCAGGAAAATGTAAATTCAAACCACAATGAGATGTCACTTCACATCCACTAGGATGGCTACAGTTTAAAAGACTGACAACACCAAGTGTGGACAAGGATGTAGGGTAACGCTCATCCACTGCCAGCACACAGGAAAAAGAATGCAATATTTTCAGAAAAGTTTGTCAGTTTTTTACAAAGTAAAACATACACTTACCATAAAGGCCAGTAATTCCACTCCTAGATATTGACCCAGGAGAAATGAAGACAAATAGCAGCTTTATTCATAATAGCCCCAAACTGGAAACAACCTAAATGCACCCCAACAGATGAATGGAAAAACAACCTGTGGTGTATTCACACAACAGGACACTCCTTCACAGACAAAAAAGAACAAAGTTCTGACACATGCAACAACATGGATGAATCTCAAAAACAATGCACTGAGCAAAAGAAACAAGACATGAAAGAATGCATCATGTATGATTTCATTCACGTGAAGTTCTAAAATGGGCAAAACTAATCTAGAGTGACAGAAAGCAGACAGATGATTTCCAGAGCCAGTCTGGAGGGAGGCTTAACTACAAAGGGCCATGAGGGAATATTCAGGATAGGGGAGATGTCCTGTATGGAGACTGTGGTGGGTCACGGTGTCTGTGCTTGTTATACAGTACATTTAGAATTGAGGGAGCTTATTGTCTCTAAGCTGAACCTTCATAAAGTTGATATTTTAAAATTCATTATGTTTTTAAACTGTGGTAAAATACGTGTAGCATAAAATTTACCATCTTAACTTTTTGGGTTGTTTTTGTTTTTGTTTTTGAGACAGGGTCTTCCTCTGTCACCCAGGCTGGAGCACAGTGCTGTGATCATATTTATAATCATAAGGCTTATTGCAGCCTCAACGTCCTGGGCTCAAGCAATCCTCCCACCTCAGCCTCTTGAGTAACTAAGAGTACAGGTGTGTGCTACCATGCCTGACTAGTTTTTTTTTTTTTTTTTTTTTGTAGTGACAGGGTTCTCCATGTTGCCTAGGCTGGGCTCAAGTGATCCTCCCACCTCAGCCTCCCAAAGTGCTGCGATTATAGGCATGAGCCAGCTCACCCAGCCAAATATTTTTAAGCGTACAGTTCACTGGTCTTAAGTATATTCATAATGTTGTGCAGCCATCATCACTGTCCTTCTCCATATATCTTTTTATCTTGGAAACTAAAACTCTATCCCCATTAAACATTAACTCCTCATTCACCTCTCCCCCAGATCCTGGCACCCACCATTCTACTTTCTGTCTCCATGAATTTGACTACTCCAGGGACCTCTTGTAACTGGAATCATATAGTATTTGTCCTTTTGTGACTGGCTTATTTCACTTAACATAATGTCTTAAGGGTTCAACCATGTTGCAGCATGTGTCAGAATTTCCTTCCTTTTTAAAGCTCAGTAATATTCCATTGTAGGTATAGACCACATTTTGCTTATCTATTCTTCTGTCAATGGACACTTGGGCTGCTTCCACTTTTTAGCTATTGTGGATAATGCAGCTATGAACATGAGTATACACATATCTCTTCCAGACCCTGCTTTAAATTTGGGGGTGGGGAGTGGCATATGTATCTGAGGAGTGGAATAGCTGGATCATATAGGAATTGTATTTTTAAATATTTAAGGAACTGTCATCCTGTTTTCCACGGCAGCTGCACCATGTTACATATCCACCAACAGTGCACAAGGGCTCCAGTTTCTCCACACACTGGCCAACATTTGTGATTTTCTGTTCTTTTCTATAGTAGCTATCCTAATGTGTTTGAAATGATATCTCTTAGTTTTGATCTGCATTTCTCTAATGATTAGTGATGCTGAGCATCTTTTCACGTGCTTATTGGCCATTTGTACGACTTCTTTAAAGAAATGTCTATTTAAGTCCTTTGCCCATTTTTGAATTGTGTTTTTTTTTTATTGTTGAGTTATAGGAGTTCTCTATATATTCTGGATACCAATCCCTTACCATATGTATGATTTGCAAATATTTTCTCCCATTCCATGGGTTGCCTTTTTACTCTGTTGATAATATCTTTTGATGCACAAAATTATTTAATTTTCATAAAGTCCAATTTATCTATTTTTTCTTTTGTTTCCTGTGCCTTAGGTGTCATGGCCAAGAAACCACTGCCAAATCCTTTGTCATGAAGTTTTTGCCCTGTGCTTTCTTCTAAGAGTTTAGGTCTTATATTCAGAAGTCCTTGATCTACTTTGAGTTAGTTTTTGTATATGGTGTTAGGTAAGGGTCTAACTTGATTCTTTGGCATGTGGATATCCAGTTTATCCAGCATCATTTGTTGAAAAGACTGTCCCTCTCCTCACTGAATGATTTTTGCATTCCTGTCAAATATCATTTGACCATATATGCGAGGGTTTATTTTTGGGCTCACTATTCTATTCCATTGGTCTCCATATCTTTTTGGGATTTTTTTGAGACAGGGTCTTGCTCTGTTGCCCAGGCTGGAGTGCAGTGGTGCAATCACAGCTCACTGCAGCCCCAACCTTCTGGGCTCAAGTGATCCTCTCCCCTCAACCTCCCACACAGCTGGGACTACAAGCATGAACCACCTTGCCCAGCTTTTATATTTTTTATAGAGACAAGGTTTCACCATGTTGCTTGGGCTGGTCTCAAACCCCTGAGCTCAAGCAATCAGCCCACTTTGGCCTCCCAAAGTGCTGGGATTACAGGCATGAGCCACCACACCCAGCCCTCTATGTCTTTCTTTACACCATTACCACACTGTTTTGATTACTATAGCTTTGTAGTGAGTTTAGAAATCAGAAAGTGTGAGTCTTCCAGCTTTGTTCTTCCCTTTCAAAATTATTTTGGCTGTTTGGGATCCCTTTAGACTCCACATGAATTTTAGGATGGGCTTTTCTATTTCTGCAAAAAAAAAAAAATCACTGGGGTTTTGATAGGAATTGCATTGGATCTGTAGATTGCTTTGAGTAGTACTGACATCTTAACAATATTAAGGCTTCCAATTCATGAACATGGGATGTCTTTCCATTTATTTATGTCTTCTTTCATTTCTTTCAGCAATGTTTTACAGTTTTCATTGTACAAGTCTTTCACCCCCTTGGTTTAATTAATTCCTCAGTATTTTTTTTCTTTTTGATGCTACTGTAAATAGAATTGTTTTCACAATTTCCTTTTCTGATTATTCATTTTTAGTGTATAGAAATGCAGCAGATTTTTTTTTGGTGGTGGGGGAACGGAGTCTTGCTGTCACCCAGGCTGGAGTGCAGTGGCATGATCTCAGCTCACTGCAAGCTCTGCCTCCTGGGTTCACACCATTCTCCTGCCTCAGCCTCCCAAGTAGCTGGGACTACAGGCGCTCGCCACCATGCCCTACAGGTGCTCGCCACCACGCCCAGCTAATTTTTTGTATTTTTAGTAGAGACGGGGTTTCACCATGTTAGCCAGGATGGTCTCAATCTCCTGACCTCGTGATCCGCCCACCTCCGCCTCCCAAAGTGCTGAGATTACAGGCATGAGCCATCACACCTGGCAAATGTGGCAGATTTTTGTGTATTGATTTTGTGTCCTGCTACTTTGCTGAATTCATTTCTTAGTTCAGGGGTATGTTGTAGAATCTTTAGTTTTCTGCATAGAAAATTGATATGGTTAGGCTTTGTGTCCCCACCCAAATCTCATCTTGAATTATAATCCCTATGATCCCCATGTGTCAAGGGAGAGACCAGGTGGAGGTAGTTGGATTGTGGGGACAGTTTCCCCTATGCTGTTCTCATGGTAGTAAGTTCTCATGAGATCTGATGGTTTTAGAAGGGGCTCTTCCTTCTTCATTTGGCACCTCTTCTTCCTGTCACCTTGTGAAGACAGTGCCTTTCTTCCCCTTCATCTTCCACCATGATTGTAAGTTTCCTGAGGCCTTCCAAGGCATGCTGAACTGTGAGTCAATTTAACCTCTTTCCTTTATAAATTACCCAGTCTTGGGCATTTCTTTATAGCAGTGTGAAAATGGACAAATACGAAAATCATATCATCTGTGAACAAATAATTCTACTTCTTCCTTCCCAATTTATAAGTTTTATTTCTTTTTCTTGTCTAATTGCTCTGGCTTGAACTTCCAACGCAATGTTGAATGGAAGTGGTGAAAGTATGCATCCTTCCCTTATTTCTATCTTGGAGGAAAAGATTTCATTTGTTCTTATTTTTCTAATTACTTAAGCTGTAAAGTTAGGTTGTTGGTTTAAGATCTTATTTTTTAATGTAAGCATGTATAGCTATAAATTTCTCCATTAGCACTGTTTTTGCTATGTCCCAGTCTTTCACCATTGAACATGATATTCGCTGGGAGTTTTTCATATATGGCTTTTATTACATCAAGGTAGTTTCCTTTTATTCCTAATTTGTTGAATGTTTTTACCATGAAAGGGTGTCAAATTTTGTCAAATGTATCAGTTGAGATAATCATGTTTTTTCCCCATCATTCTGTTAATGTGGTGTATTGATTAATTTTCATATGTTGAACCATCCTTGCATTCCAGGAATAAATCTCATGTAGTCATAGTGTATAATCCTGTTAATGCTACTGAATTTTGTATGCTAATATTTTGTTGAAGAATTTCGTATCAATGTTCATAATGGATATTGGTCTGTAGTTTTCTTTTCTTGTAGTGTCTGTCTTTGGTATCAGAATAATGCTGGCCTCACAGAATGAATTAGGAAGCCTTCCTTCTTGAATTGTTGGGGAAAGTTTGAGAAGGATTGGTGTTAGTTCTTTAAACATTTGGTAGAATTCACCAGTGAAGCTATCAGCCCTAAAACTTTTATGGGGAGATTTTTTATTACTGATTCAGTCTCCTTACTACTTATAGGTCTATTCAGAGTTTTGATTTTTTTATGATTTAGTCTTGGTAGGTTTTGTGCTTCTAGAAATGTGTTCATTTCATCTAGTGCTATGGCTTGAATGTTTTCCCCAAAGTTCATGTGTTGTAAATGTAATCCCCAGTATAATAATGTTGGGAGGTGGGGCCTAATAGAGGTGATCCATTACAGGGCAAAGCCTTCATGAATGGATTAATGTCTTATTTTGGGAGTGGGTTAGTTATTTCAAGAGTGGGCTTGTTATAAAAAGCAAGTTTAGCTCCCTCTTGCTTTCTTACTCTCTTTCATGCATCTGTGTGCTCCCTTACCCTTCTGCCTTCCAGTGGAAGGGCATGTATGTGCTGCCATTCTGGAATGACATGAGGCAGGCCCTTGCCAGATGCTGGCCCCTCAATTTTGCCAGATGCTGACCATCCTCTGGGAAGGCAAGGATGGTCAGTGATTGATTTATAAAGTACTAGGTAGTTTATAAAGTACTTAGTCTGTGGTATTCTGTTTTAGTCACATAAAACAGACTAACACATCTAGGTTATCCAACATGTTGGCATACAATTATTCACAGAATCCTTTTACTTCTGTAGAGTCAGGAGTAATGTCCCTACTTTCATTTCTAATTTTAGTAATATGAATCTTCTTTCTTTTTTCTTAGTCCAGTTAGCTAAATGTGTGTCAATTTTGTTGATCTTTTCAAATAACCAATTTTTCACTTTATTGATTTTCTCTGCAATTTTCTATTCTTTATGTCATTGATCTCTGCTCTAATCTGTACTATTTCCTTCATTCTGCTACTTTTGGATTTCATTTGTTCTTATTTTTCTAATTACTTAAGTTGTAAAGTTAGGTTGTTGGTTTAAGATCTTATTTTTTAATGTAAGCATTTATAGCTATAAACTTCTCCATTAGCATTGTTTTTGCTATGTCCCATAAGCTTTGATATATTGTGCTTTTGTTTTCATTGGTTTCTTGATTTCCTTTTTGATTTCTTCTTTCATCCATTGGCTGTGTAAGGTAGTGTCGTTTAGTTTCCACAACTTTGTGAATTTTCCACTTTTACATCCATTATTAATTCCTAACTTCATCTTGTTGTCAGAGAAGATAATTTGTATAATATCTATCTTAAATCTATTGAGAGATAAATTAAGGCTTAATTTGTGGTCTAATATGTAGTCTATCATCTCGCTGTTTGTGTGAGGTTTTATGCACAACATCAAGTCCTTGATAAGGGGAGTCTCAAATCAACACAGAAACAAGATGAAAGTCTGGCCTTTATCACAAAAGTTCCCTGCTGATCCCAGCCTGGGCCCACTCTGCTGAGCCCTTCAGAATCAGCCTGGGGCCTCCGACCCTGGAGGGTGAGAAGCCCAGCATCGGGCGGGAGGAGCACATATAAGACCAAGGCTTCCCAGTGTCAGGTGCCAGCTGGGTAAGACAAAGAGGCATAAGCCTTCTCTCCTGTGGCATGAGAAGAGGACAGTGATGTTTGTGGCCTGGAGAATGGGCCAGGCTAAGCAACAGAAGTTACACAGAGAGCCACTACAGCTCAAGTCCATCACACCATTCCTGAGGCCCTGCTCTACCTCTACACTCTTTCCTGCATCAGAGGTAGAGGAGCTAAAGCAGCCAGCAAGCAGGAAGTTGAGAGAGGCAACTTCTGCACTCTTTCTTTCCACCCTGAAGTTTTATGAGAAATTATGACCACTACAAAGGTAAAAATGACACAGGCTGCACTCGGATTCCAGTTACAAATAAAGGAGCTCATACCTCTAACATCAGGTGACAGGCAGGCGCCCACCTGCACGTCGCCAGCTGCCCTCTGGCCAGGGTTTCTGACCAAGGAGGAATATTCTGGTTCCCAGAATCATGGCACTTCAAGACTAGAACTTGGCGTCCTCAGAGCTCACGTTCTGGCCTCCACCCCATTGCCCCCATGTTCCCTGACCCTCACCTTTCAGCAAGGCCTGCAAGATGGCCACATCCACGTCCTGCTGACCATCCTTGCCTTCCCGGAAGACAGTCAGCAGCTGCCGCCTCCGGACGATATCTTGGATCTGCAACAAGCATTTTCTAAGTGAGACACACAGTGACTCCTGAACCCCTGCCTCCTCCAGGACACATAGAATTGAGGCCCCGGACACAGCCAGAGCCTTGGGTCCTGCCTGCGCTTGTGGCCAGGACACCACCACATCTCCTCTTGCCCTAGATGGTGCAGATGAAGATCCATGGGGACCAAATACATCATGTTCGTGAGAGTCTGTTGGGTGGAAAACACAATCCAAGGGCAACGGATCTTCACCCTGACGATAGTGCAGCTTCATGCGAGGCTGCTCCTCCTAGCCCTCCTGCTAAGCCCAGGCCACTCCTCACCACCTGCCTACCTGCCTATCTATCTGTCTACTTATTTATCTGTCTGTCTGTCGATCGATCAGTCTATCTATCTATCCATCTATGCATCTATCCATCTATCTATCTACATAATCTGATCTATCTATCCATCTATGCATCTATCCATCTATCTACATAATCTATCCATCTATAAATCTATCTATCCATCCATGTGTGTGTTTCATCTATGTATATATGTATGTATCTATCTATCTACCTATCCATCTATCCATGTATCCATCTATCCATCCACATGTATCTATCTATTGTCTAGCTATCCATCCATCCATCCATCTTTCCATCCATCCATACACACACCCACCTACCAACCATTCATCCATCCACTTATCTTTCTATCTACCTCCCACCCACTATCTATCTATCATCCATCTATCTATCTATCTATCTATCTATCTATCTATCTATCTATCCATCTATCTATCATATCAATTCATTCATCTTTTTTTTTTTTTTTTGAGACAGACTTTTTGCTCTGCCACCCAGGCTGGAGTGCAGTGGCACGATCTTGGGTCACTGCAACCTCCACCTCCTGGCTTCAAGCAATTCTCCTGCCTCAGCCTCCCAAGTAGCTGGGATTACAGGCACCCACCACCATGCCTGGATAATGTTTGTATTTTTAGTACAGATGTGGTTTCACCATGTTGGCCAGGCTGGTCTCAAACTCCTGACCTCAAGTGATCCACCCGCATCAACCTCCCAAAGTGCTGGGATTACAATTGTGAGCCACAGTGCCCAGTCCATCCATTTTATCACCTGTCTGTCTATCTATCTATCCATCCATCCATCCATCTAATCTACCTATCATCTAGCTACCCACCTATCCCTCCATCCATCCATCCATCCACATGGCCCACCCACCCACCCACCATCCATCCATCCATCTATTCATCCATCCATCTTTCCATCCAGCCATCCACACACCCACCCATCATCCATCCATCTATCTACCACCCACCCACCATCCATCCATCCATCCATCCATCATGGCATCCCTAGCAGGTATGTCTACTACAGTTACTCCTCCTTGAAGCACCTTCCCCCTGTGTCCAGGGCGAGCAACTCCACAAACGCATCTTCCCATGGCTCCCACTGCTCCCAAAGTAAGCCTCAGCCTTCTCCCTCTGGCTCCCCAGGCCAGCCACACCTGGCCTCCCCTGCTTCTCTCCTCGTCCGCAGCCTGGCCCCATTGCCTCCACATAGACTCTGCCCTCACCTGGAGGGCTCCTCACACTCCACCTCCATGCCTAAGACCCCAACGGTGCCCCATCCCTCGGGGTCCAGCTTTCATGACAACTCCAAAACACATCCTGAGCTCCCTGGCGAACTCCACCCTCATCCAGCAGCCAAAGGTCTCCTGGCTTTCAGCACCCCCATCCTCATACCGTAAAGCAGCTCCCAGCGTCTGAGCCCATAAAAGTCTCCTGGACTTCAGCCCGCCCTGTCCTCATAGGGTGAAGCAGCTCCCAGCGTCTGAGCCCATATGGACGCCAGGGCCTCGTTTCCTCGTCTGAGTCGAGCACTCAGTACCCCTACTTAACAGATGAGAAAGGCAAGGCTGAGCGAGGGTGGGCAACTTCTTCCTGGCCACAGCTGTGAGCCCCTGCAGGGAGGTCCCCGGGCCCCTCTGACGGGGCCGCCCACCAGCAGCAGCACCCGAGGGTAGCTCTGCAACTCCTCCACAGTGTAGACGGACACTCTGAGAAGGCGTGTTAAAGGAGCGCACTGACCCTGGCTGCATGGCTGGGCCCCTCCCCACTGAGCAGGAGCATCAGCGAATGCCGAGCCCCTGCTGAGGCCTGACGGCTGTGTGTGAAAGCACCACTTTCAGGGCCTTGGCTTGGCTATGGAGAGTGCATTAAAAATAGGCACCTTTCAACAACAGCAGATTAAACTCAGTTCTGAGAATTGCCTGAATAATTTATCAACCAGCAGAGAGAGGGCTCCAGGGCCCGCCCGACAAGTCCCAATGGCACCGGGAAGGAAGGAAAGCCGCCCTGACATGGGGAGCTGAGCGGCCGCTCACAGCCGGACCACGATGTTTTCACAAACTGATCTGACGCTTGCAGCTACATCATGTTATTCTCCTGCCGGACAAAAACGCTCTCAGAAGACATCTGTGCAGAACGAGGTCACTCTGAGACCATCGCAAAGCACAGAAGGAAACAAGGTCACTGTGCCACCCACAAATCACCAGTCAGAGAAACTCTGCTTCTGAATCGGCCAACGGGGCCAAGACCTCCACCCAGCCCTTCCGACACCCGTGGTTCCTGAGGGTGCTCATTTTTAATCCACTCTCCACAGGCCCAATCTGGCCAAATAGGTGTGTCCCTGCGGCCTGCAGCTGGGGGTCACCACTGCCCACAGAACCCAAATTCAACACAGTGGAAAGCGCATGTCAGCCACTCAGAACCTGGAGATGTCCCGGGTCTGCAGGAAAGACACAGACAGAGGGCTCTGCCGGCCCTGGCTTGCTGGGAAACTGAGGATGAAAAGGCCCCAGTGCCAGCCCCTGCAAAGAATCCTGCCAGGAATTGAGTCAGGTCACCCTGGAAGCAGCAGGCACAGGGAGGGGAGAGGCTCTCCACTGGAGCCCACCCCCCTGGTCAAGGGCTTGGTGGGGTGGCCAGGGCTGGCCAACCACGGCCCTTCACAACGGACCCCCTCTGGAGGCTGGGGTCATGGCAGGGGCCACCCAAAATCTACCCCTGGACTGGGGCAATGGCCCCTCCTGAGGCCACTCTACATGCCTCCATTAACTCACCTATGAGGCTACAATCTGGACTGGACCCTGCGACCCACAGCCATTGCTCAGCAGCTGCCCTGCTGCCCGACTCGGCTGAGGCCTCCCCAGCGCCTGCCTCCCACCCCTCCAATCCAGCAGACCCTTTTCACAGCACCACTGAGCCCCGCAGCGTTCCCAGCCCGCCCTGGTGTGCTGCGGGTGAGGTTCACACCCTCCTTTCACATGCTGTCTTGGGATCTGACCTCCGGAACCCAGCCAGGAGGTTTACCACCTGGGCCCTGCCCTCTGCAAATCGCTCTGGCACCCACTCAGACCCAGTGGGTTCTCCGCATCGGTCCATGAGTCCTGGTCCTGCCCACCAGGCTGACAGTGTCTCTGCAAAGCAGCCACATGCTGGTGACCGTCGTGCCCGTCAGCCTCACCTTTTTGGTCCACTCGACAATCCTGCTTTCCGTGAAGGTCTCAAACATCTCCTGGAAGAACACGCTCAGTTTCTGCTGGATCAGGGAGATAGTGATGTCCGAGACAGGCAGGTTGGCCACCTGGGCAATGACGTCGGCCACGCGGCCCGAGCCCTCCACAACCACACAGGGGGTGCCGTTGGTGGTGGCGTTGTCGATGGTCTGCAAGGCAGGTGGGGGTGTGAGCCCGGGACTGGGTCCTCACCGCTCCGATGCTTTCTGAAATGGAGAATTCTCCAAGGCCAGCTAAGGGCAGAGCTGGCTAACACTACTCCGAGATCCACTGAAAGCACTTATTAGTTTCGTGGCGTCCCCTGCTCTGGGGGAAGAGGGAGCTGCCCCAACACACTGGGGGCTGCACACCTGGCACCTCTCAGGCCTCAGCTCCAGCAGAATCAAAGACTCCCAGCATTTTTGCCCATGGACCTGCAGACGTGAGGGCCTCGCAGCAAAGGGGACGCTGCATGGACCTGGAGTTACCGACCTCATAAAAGCCCACAGTAAGAGCAGAGCCATGAGGAGGGCACCTGGGCTCCAGGGTGTGCTGGACTTCGGGAAGGGACTGGACACAAAGCTGTCTGGCAGGAAGGACTCTGCCGTGTGCATGAGCATCGGCCTGGGGTAAGGAGGCGGGTGCAGCCGCCCCAGCAGAAGAGCCGTGAAGGGTACTCGGCACGCATAGGGAGTGAGGACCCAGTGCTCTATGGATTCCCATCCAGCCTCAAGCCCCCAAGGCTCTGTTTTGACCTCCTGCAATCATGAAACATAAACGGGACATTGCCTGTGATCCCATCCTTCACAAAAGCCCATACTCTTGCTCCAGATCCTCAGGCTATATGTCCTCGTACATTCCTACAGCAGGTGAGGTCACCTCGCACCCTGCACGCCACAAAGCAGTTAGGGTTAGGGTCGGGAAGGAAGGCCGGCAGAGCAGCGCATTCAAGCTGCCTGCCAAATCTGCAGTCACACAGCTGCTGGCACCACGGATCTGGGATGGGGGCCACAGCCCTGTACTTTGAAAAATGCTTCCTGGAGGAATCTTGGGGGCAGAGTTGTAGAAACCCCCCAGCCTCCCCAGCAGGTCCTGGGAGCAGAGGCGCCCCACTCACTCCAGGCCCTGGGGCCCCACCCTTTCCTTCCACGCCGGTCAATGGCCCAGTCATAGCCAAGCCCAGCCTCCTCCTCCAGGCACCTTCCTCCGACCCGTCCTCCACCCACCCAGAAGCAGCCCCGACACAGCGTAGATGCTCTTTCTCTTCTTCTGGTGGGAAAGCTCATCGCCCTCTTGCCAACAGTCTTGAGTTCTGAGACAAGCACTTTTGGACAGTCATCTGCCTGCAGCAGGACGGGCCCACACATGCCCCCTCCCACCTGGCCATACTCACGTGCAACGTGCCCGGGCCGCCCTCCAGCACCACGCACACGATGGGGATCTTGATGGCCACACCTAGAAAAAGCACACAGCCGAGTGAGGGCCACACCTAAACAAAGCACGGAGCCGAGTGAGGGCCACACCTGAACAAAGCATGGAGCCGAGTGAGGGGACAGAGGTGGGGGGCAAGACCCTGCACTGAGGGCACTCTCCCCTGCCCCCTGCTGGCTCCAGCCTAACCACACACTGAAGCACCTGCTGGGAGGCCTCTTGCCAGTGCTGAGTCGCCGTTTAAAGTCAAAGCTCCACATTCCCAGGGGACCTGCCTGTTCCACATCAATGAGCAGACTCAAGAGCCCCCCGCCACCCACACTTCCCCGCTCGCTTGCTTCCCATCCACCCCTGCCTGCTTTCTTGGGAGGGAGGGAGAGGGGCTATGGACAATCAGAGCTGAGGCCCCAAGCAGGTGGCACAACCTGCCACGCGTGGATGCGAGCAGCATGCGGCACGTCCATCCTGTGTCCATCCGCCCAGCCCCACCCTGAACTTCATCCAGCCCAACAGCAGTGGAGCCTGAGAAGGACTTGGCAACCCCTTTCCCCAGGCAGCAAACTCTGTCTGTGAGCCCCCCATGGGCCCATCGTCTTCACACACTCACCCACACATCCCACCCCAGATGTCCTAGTCAAGCAGGTTCTCAAAGTGTGGTCCCTGAACTGCAGCATCGCCCTCACCAGGGAACGTGCTCCTACTAGTCAAGCAGGTTCTCAAAGTGTGGTCCCTGGTCCCTGAACTGCAGCATCGTCCTCACCAGGGAACGTGCTCCTACTAGTCAAGCAGGGTTCTCAAAGTGTGGTCCCTGGTCCCTGAACTGCAGCATCGCCCTCACCAGGGAACGTGCTCCTAATGCAAGTTCTCAGCCCACCTGGAGCTGCTGAGTTGGACCCTGGGGCTGGGGCCCACAAGCTGGTGAGGAACCCTCCAGGGGAGTTCGATGCACAAGGAACCCTGCAAGGGACCCCAGCCCACCCAGCCACAGGTCAGACACCTCCCGTTCACCATCTCCTCTTTGAACCCTCCTCAAGTGATATGCAAAACCCCGCACTTGACCTCCCGACGTCCTCAAACCCATCCCATCCCACCTATGAGGAAAAAGGTATCAAATCCTAAGTTTTGACTATCGTACATTCTGATTTCTGAACCTGAGAGCAGACCATGATCAAGGTTTAAAATAATTGTAGGGCCAGGCACAGTGGTTCAAGCTTGTAATCCCAGCACTTTGGGAGGGTGATGGGAGGATCCCTTGAGCCCAGAAGTTCGAGGCTACAGTGAGCTGAGATCACACCACTGCGCTCCAGACCCTGTCCCAAAAAAAATGTAGGTTGGCCCATTACCTGCGAGCACACAGGTGAGCTGCCAGCCCCCCAGACCGCCCTCCCACTGGCTAAAATGGGCAAGAGAAGATGACCCTCCTGGAACAAAGTATAAAGAGACACGGGAAAGAAACCCAGGTGTGTTCTGAGGACGTTCCGAGTACCATGAACATCCTGGTTGTGACCAGCTGTACCTGACAGTCTGACCAGCTCACCGCGCTCTCTGCCGAGTGCCACGAATGACCTGTGACCAGCTGTACCTGACACTCTGACCAGCCCACTGCACTCTCTGCCAAACGCCAGGCCTGTTGAACGTCCTGGTCGTGACCAGCTGTACCTGACACTCTGACCAGCCCACTGTGCTCTCTGCCCAATCACCCTCGAAAGCAAGCTCCCCTACCTCCTCTTTCCTTGGTCTGCTCCGATATGAACTTCTCCAGCCTGGTCCTCAGAGGAATCTCCACCCCGTACTGGCCGTGGGTCCCGTCGTCCACGAGGATGAAGTGAGAGTGGTTGCTGTCTAGGCAGGTCAGGTTCCCTTGGCCATCCTCATCCAGTATGTACTCGGCGGGGAAGCTGCCCTGGGATGGCCAGGAAGCGTCAGACACTGCTTCTGGAAAGCTCTGCCTCTCTAACGCGAGCAGGCTGAACACCGGCCCTCACAGAGACCAGGTCCCAGTCCCTGGAATCTGTGGACGTGGCCTTATTGGAGAAAGCGACTTTGCACATGTGATCGAAACATGAGATTAACTTGGATGATCCGAGTGGGCCCAAAATACCATCACAGGTGTCCTTACAGGAGAGAGGTGGTGGGGGACACACACAGGAGAGGAGGCCGAGGGACCACAGAGGCAGGGGCAAGTGACATAGCCACAAGTGGAGAAAGCCGGACCCCCCAGGAGTGGAGGAGGCGGGGAAACAGACGTGTGACCCTGACTTCAGAGTTCTGTCCTCCAGACACGTGAGAGACCACAATGCTGCTGTTTCAGGCTTGAGGCCATTTGTTACGGCAGCCACAGGAAACGGATACAGGTCTGGGGTGAGGAAGTGGGCTGCTGCTGCAACAAACACCTAAAAATGTGGAAGTGGCATTGAAACCGGCAATGGGGAGACGACGGGAGGATTTAGAAGCACCATGAATGGAAAACGTCTCAACGTCCTTGAAGAGAATGTTGGTGGGAATGTGGTATTAAAGGCCTTGCGGAGACGGGCGCGGTGGCTCACGCCTGGAATCCCAGCACTTTGGGAGGCCAAGGCGGGAGGATCACCTGAGCCCTGGAGTTCGAGACCAGCCTGGACGACATAGCGGATCTCATGTCTACAAAAATGAAAAAATTAGCCGGGCATGGTGGTGCACACCTGTAGTCCCAGCTACTTGGGAGGCTGAGATGGGAAGATCACTTGAGCCCGGGAGGTCAAGGCTGAGGATCGCACCAACATACTCCAGCCTGGGCAACAGTGAGACCCTGTCTCAGAAAAAAAACAACTCGCAGTAAGGGCTCAGAAGGAAGTGAGGAGCAGGGCAGAGAGGGCTTTGTTGCCCTAGAGCAGGGGTCCCCCACCCCCTGGGCCATGGACTGGTAATGGTCTGTGGCCTGTGAGGATCTGGGCTGCTCACAGCAGGAGGTGGGTGGTGGGTGAACGAGCGAAGCTTCATCCCTATTTACAGCCGCTCCCCATCGTGTGTGTGACTGTCCGAGCTCCACCTCCTGTCAGATCCGCGGCATTAGATTCTCATGGGAATACTAACCTTACTGTGAACTGTGCATGCGAGGGACCTAGGTTGTACTCCCCTTACGAAAATCTAATGCCTAATGATCTGTCACTGTCCCCCATCACCCCCAGATGATGGGACCGTCTAGCTGCAGGAAAACAAGCTCAGGGCTCCCACTGATCCTACATTATGGTGAGCTGTATGATTACTGCATTATATATTACAATGTAATAATAGAAATAAAGTGCACAATAAACGTAACGTGCTTGAATCATCCCCAAACCAACCGCTTACCACCCCGCCCCCATCTGTGGAAAAACTCTCTTCCACGAAACCAGTTCCTGGTGCCAAAAAGGCTGGGGACCGCTGCCTTAGAAAATATATATACGGGCCAGGCACGGTGGCTCACGCCTGGAATCCCAGCACTTTGGGAGGCCAAGGTGGGCAGATCAGTTGAGGTCAGGAGTTCGAGACCAGCCTGGCCAACATGGTGAAACCCCGTCTGTACTAAAAATACAAAAATTAGCTGGGTATGGTGGCACATGCCTGTAATCCCAGCTACTCGGGAGGCTAAGGTGGGAGATTTGCTTGAACCCGGAAGGTGGAGGTTGCAGTGAGCCAAGATCGCACCACTGCACTCCAGCCTGGGCAAAAGAGCAAGGCTCCATCTCAAAAAAAAAAAAAGAGAGAGAGAGAGAATACATATACTGGCATGAACAGAATTTTAGCAGAAAAATGAACATCACAGTTGCTTCTTCTGGTGAGGGCTCAGAAGGAAGTGGGAAATGTGGTACTGGAGACTGGAGGGAAGGCCAACTTTGCTGCAGAGTGACAGAAAGCCTGGCTGAATTGTGCTGTGCAGTTTTGTGGAGAGCAGAACTGTAAATGATGAACTTGAAGATTTAGCCGCAGAGATCTCCAAGCAAAGTGTTCAAGTTGTGGCCTGGCTTTTTTTTCTTGCTGCTTCTCACAAAATGCAAAAGGAAAGAGAGAAATTGAGGGAAAAACTGACAGACAAAATGGAACCAGGACTTGATGATGTGGGAAATTCTCAGCCTATCCGGGTCGCATATAATGCAGGTCGCATATAATGCAGGTCGCATATAATGCAGGTCGCATATAATGCAGGTCGCATATAATGCAGGTCGCATATAATGCAGAAAATGAAAAGAGATTCACTGTTCGAAAAGCAGACTCTAAAGAGAAGGCCAACGGCCAAGCGCAGTGGCTCACACCTGTAATCCCAGCACTTTGGGGGGCCGAGGCGGGCGGATCACTTGAGGTCAGGAGTTCGAGACCAGCCTGGCCAACATGGAGAAACCCTGTCTCTACTAAAAATACAAAAATTAGCTGGGCATGGTGGTGGGTGCCTGTAGACCTAGCTACTCAGGAGGCTGAGGCAGGAGAATCACTTGAACCCAGGAGGCGGAGGTTGCAGTGAGCTGAGATCGCACCACTGCACTCCAGCCTGGGCAACAGAGTGAGACTGTCTCAAAAAAAAAACAAAAAGAAAAAAGAGAGAGGGCCAAGGGTGTGTCTAAACAACCTCCTGCTAGTGATGAAGAGACCAGGCAAGGAGACTGCAATTCACTCAACCATCTCAGAAGCCAGGAGTGGAGACAGCATCACAGGAAAGGTCTGCAGAGCCCTTTTTGTCTACTGGCAGAAATTCCTATGGCATTCAAAGGAGGACTGCAAGGTTTTCACAAATGTTATATCAACAACAACACTGCAAATTTGGACTGAAAGGGACAGAGACGGGATAAAATGAAAGGTCGTCAGACTCCTTAAAATCTTCAAGCAGACTAAAAGCTATAACCTTCAGGGAAAAGGATCGTCCTGAAGGCAGGGCCGTGGACACAGAGCAGGGTAGGGGGTGCCCAAGCCACAGAGGGGTCTCCCCGGTCTTATCACCTAGTGCATTCTGCCTGCCGGGTTTTGGAATTGCCTGGGGCTGGTGATGCCTTCGTTCCTCCCGTGTTCCCCCATTGGGAATGAGAGTGTCTGCAGCTGTGATGCTACACCTGCTCTTCCCTTGTATTTTGGAGATAGGTGACTTGTTTTCTGGTCTCACAGGTGCACATATGAAGAGAAATTCTGCCCCAGAATGGATCAGACCCAGAGTCTTCAGCGTCCCTGACTTAAATGATGACATTTGGGACTTTTGAGCTGATGATATTTTTGTTTGTTTGTTTTGTTTTGCTTGAGACGGTGTCTCGCTCTGTCACCTGGGCTGGAGTGCAGTGGCACAACCTTGGCTCGCTGCAACCTCCGCCTCCCAGGTTCAAGCGATTCTCCTGCCTTGGCCTCCCAGTAGCTGGGATTACAGTCGCCTACCACCATGCCCGGCTAATTTTTTGTAGAGACGGGGTTTCTCCATGTTGACCAGGCTGGTCTCAAGCTCCTGACCTCAGGTGATATGCCTGCCTTGGCCTCCCAAAGTGTTGGGATGACAGGTGTGAGCCACCGCACTCGGCCAAGCTTATGATATTTACATGAGATTTTGATCTTGGAGTTTCTGCTGTAACAGGTTTGTAGTTGGAGGGGATCATTTTGTTTGGTTTGGTTTGGTTTAGTTTAGACAGAGTCTTGCTCTGTCACCCAGGCTGGAGTGCAGTGGCATGATCTTGGTTCCCTGCAACCTCCAGCTCCTGGGTTCAAGCAATTCTTCTGCCTCAGCTGGGATTACAGGCGCCTGCCACTATGCCCAGTTAATTTTTGTATTTTTAGTAAAGACAGGGTTTCCACCATATTGGCCAAGCTGGTCTTGAACTTTTGTCCTCAAGTGATCCGCCCATCTCAGCCTCCCAATGTGCTGGGATGACAGGTGTGAGCCCCCACACCCAGCCAAGATCTGGCAATGGTGTGAACATATTTTGCCTGTGGAGTGGACAGAAATCTTTGAGGTCAGAGGGAGGACCGCAGTTGGCTGAATCATGGCCACCCAAAGACATCAAGGCCTGCTCATGGACCCGGTAAGTGCTGCTCCTCATTTCCTTGTTTGGAAAAGCATCTTTGCAGATGTCAGTTAAAGATCTGGATATGAAGGCATCACCCTAGATGACCCTAGTGGGACCTACACGCCATCACGAGTGTTCTTACGGAACTCTTGGGGGAGATTTGACACAGGCACACAGAGAAGGCCACGGGACACGGAGGCAGAGACTGGAGGGAGGCGGCCACGGGACACGGAGGCAGAGACTGGAGGGAGGCGGCCACGGGACACGGAGGCAGAGACTGGAGGGAGGCGGCCACGGGACACGGAGGCAGAGACTGGAGGGAGGCGGCCACGGGACACGGAGGCAGAGACTGGAGGGAGGCGGCCACGGGACACGGAGGCAGAGACTGGAGGGAGGCGGCCACGGGACACGGAGGCAGACACTGGAGGGAGGCGGCCACGGGACACGGAGGCAGACACTGGAGGGAGGCGGCCACGGGACACGGAGGCAGAGACTGGAGGGAGGCGGCCATGGGACACGGAGGCAGCGACTGGAGGGAGGTGGCCACTGGCCAGGGAATGCCATCAGCACCCAGACGCTGGAGGCAGCAAGGAATGCTCTTCCCCTAGGCCCTAGAGGGAGGTGGCCCCGCCAACACCGATGGCTGGATGATGGCCAATCGACGCGGATTCCAGATCTGATAGACTAAGTTTCTGCTGCTTTAAGCCACCAGGTTTGTGAGCCTGGGTTACAGCAGCCCCGGGAGACAGACCTAAGGGAGGGCGGCAGCCGGGCTGGGACACACACCCTCCGCCGTCCACAGAGAGGGAGCGTGGCTGAGCGGAAGCAGCCACAGTCCCATTCCGCCACCAACAGTGGTGTCACGGGAAGTCGTCTGAACTCAGCGTGGGGAGGAAAGTAAGGAGTGACCTGGGACGTCACCCAGCCGCTCCTGGCTTCAGTTTTTCAATTCGTAAAAAGAGCAAACAAAGCCCAACAGCTGGTCCAGTCCGACCCCGCCGGACACATTCATGATTCTGACGCAAAGGAAGGCGAAGGCCGGGCTGGGGCTGGCCAGTGCTTGCTGGGCCCCTCGTGGGCATCTGGGAGTGTCCTCTGCCCGCCCGGGGAATGGACGCACAGTGTCCGTGTCACTGTCAGAGGAGTAAATCACCCCTCGGGGTAACAAGGGAACCTGCTCAGTGAGTCACAGGCCAGTGTTCCCTGGGCTTTCCTGACCACGTGGATTCAGGGGCACACACGCATCATACCAAAGTTAGTGTGTCCTTGGAAAATCTGGTTGAATGACTCATTATCTGTCCCAACTCAAGGCTCCGGATTAAAGCAACTGCTTCTCCTGCGTCCAGTTAATCAGAGGCAGGAGTGCTCCGTCCTCAACCTTGACGGAGAAGCTGGGGGTGGGTGCTGGCTGCCAGGGACCACAGCACAGTGGGATTCCCGGCTGCAGGAGACCTCTGAGTACAGGGACTCAAAGTGCTAAAAGCTCCGGTTCGGGGTCGGATCGCCCTGGCTCAGCCCCACCCAGCTGCCTGCTGGCCACGCCCCCTCCCTCTGCTCTGTTAG
Organism: Homo sapiens; assembly: GCF_000001405.40. Lineage (NCBI taxonomy): Eukaryota > Metazoa > Chordata > Mammalia > Primates > Hominidae > Homo > Homo sapiens. Next base: position 44,370,176 of record NC_000021.9, on the reverse strand, counting down.
CGGAACCCTCGCAGCGAGTGACTGTCACGTGGACCCCTCTTACAACCTTGAGGGAGATACCAGAGTCCAGCCAAGTTAGCCGTTTGTCCGGGGTCACCTGGGTCAGGGGTGGGCCGGGAGTTGCACCCAATCTCCTGAGTGTGCCCGCCTCCCCCGCACACTCCACCTGCTCCTCACAGCACCCGGTCAGACGTCACCCACACCCCGCCTCCCCCGCACACTCCACCTGCTCCCCGCAGCACCCGGTCAGAACTCACCCACACCCCGGCCCCCGCACACTCCACCTGCTCCCCGCAGCACCCGGTCAGACGTCACCCACACCCCGCCTCCCCCGCACACTCCACCTGCTCCCCGCAGCACCCGGTCAGACGTCACCCACACCCCGCCTCCCCCGCACACTCCACCTGCTCCCCGCAGCACCCGGTCAGAACTCACCCACACCCCGGCCCCCGCACACTCCACCTGCTCGCCGCAGCACCCGGTCAGACGTCACCCACACCCCGCCTCCCCCGCACACTCCACCTGCTCCCCGCAGCACCCGGTCAGACGTCACCCACACCCCGCCTCCCCCGCACACTCCACCTGCTCCCCGCAGCACCCGGTCAGAACTCACCCACACCCCGGCCCCCGCACACTCCACCTGCTCCCCGCAGCACCCGGTCAGACGTCACCCACACCCCGGCCCCCGCACACTCCGCCTGCTCCCCACAGCGCCCGGTCAGACGTCACCCACACCCCGGCCCCCGTACACTCCACCTGCTCCCCACAGCGCCCAGTCAGACCTCACCCACACCCCTGGTCTTAGGCTCCCCTCCCTAGGGGGCCGCACTCACCGTGGGATGGATCAGGCCCTCGCGGCGGTGGACAGTGCCCCAGGTGGCGACTCCGATGGTGATGAGCTCGCCTTCCTTGTAGCTGCTGCTCAGGCTGAAGTCCCGCACCGCCTCGCCTACCTGCTTCATGACGCCGGTGTGGGACCCCCCTGTGATGATCCAGGCCCCTGGGGAAGGAGCACGGGTGGGCAGGCCCCACAGCACTGAGGGGCACCTGACACCCAGGAGCCTGACGCCTGAGCCCTTCTAGGCTCAGCGATGCCCCGCCCCCAACAACGCAGAGCTCCTCACTCAGGGGCTTTCAAACCAGCATCAGGTGTAAGGAACCGAGGTTCCCACGCGCTCAGGTGGGGTGGGAACAGGAGCAGGCCCCGCCCCTCTCCCGGTCCCTGCCGCCTCCTCAGGCCCCAGTCTCAGGATCGCGGTTCTCAGCACCTCTCTGCATTCTTGTATTTTGCTTTCCCTCTTCCTCCCAGCTTTCAGGACCCAGGTGCGGCAGAGTGCTTCCTCGCTCCCAACACTCAGCCTGGTCCCTAGGAAGGATGCCCCTCACCTCCCACCTGCCATCTGCTGCTGGTGGTTTGCAGCCACCCCTGTAAGAAACACACCTCCGGCCGGGCACGGTGGCTCACGCCTGTAATCCCAGCACTTTGGGAGGCCGAGGCGGGCAGATCACCTGAGGTCAGGAGTTCGAGACCAGCCTGGCCAACATGGTGAAACCCCGTCTCTACTAAAAATACAAAAATTAGCCAGGCATGGTAGCACACGCCTGCAGTCCCAGCTACTCAGGAGGCTGAGGCAGGAGAATTGCTTGAACTCAGGAGGCAGAGGTTGCAGTGAGCTGAGATAGCGCCACCACCACTGCACTCCAGCCTGGGTGACAGAGCAAGACTCCAACTCCAAAAAAAAAACAAAAAAATAAAAAAAACAGCCAATCAGCCAGGCATGGTGGCTCACGCCTGTTATCCCAGCACTTTGGGAGGCCAAGGCAGGAAGATTACTTGAGCCCAGGAGTTCAAGACCAGCCTGGACAACATAGACCTTGTCTCTACAAAAATTAGCCTGGCATGGTGGCATACGCCTCTAGTCCCAGCAACTCAGGAGGCGGAGGCAGGAGTATCACCTGAGCCCAAGAGGTCGAGGCTGCAATGAGCTGAGATCGTGCTACTGCACTCCAGCCTGGGGAACAGACTGAGACCCTGTCTCAAAAATAAATAGATGGATGGATGGAAGGATGGAGATAGATAGATAGAAAGATAACAATTGAAAAGGTGGTACTGGCTTTGGGCCAGGAAGCGGACAACAAGGACACGGATATTGAAAGCTAAAAAAATGCAACATCAAGACCTGGAGCAGGTGAGACCTGAACAAATCCATGGCATTATTTGAGGCAGCAAAGCTTCAGAAAGAGCCTGTGGGATGGTGACCTGCGTTAAACCCAGTCCCATGTGACCAGGCTGAGAAAAGGTCTGGTCATTTTACAAGCAGGGCTGTGGGACTCACAGGTCAAAAGATGCAGCCGTGCCTCACGCTCACCAGGCAGACAATGAAACTGAGGACTCTGTGAGCCATGCAGGCCAAGTCAGGCTCAGTTACGACTCCACTGCGAGGCAAAGACCAGACCCCAGACCCCAGGAAGAGCAGGGTGACTCTAGGCCCATCCGGACGCAACATTGCCAAGTAGTCACCTCAGGGCCTCACTATTCATCCACAGTCCCCTCCAGGGAGGCCCAGGGAGCCTTGAGGACTTGGGGCCCCCTCCCCATGGAATTAGGGTGGGGCGGGGCACCAGGTCACGGCACCTGGGATCTCACACCATCCACCAGGACTGGGTCCCTGCCTGGCTCTCACCAGTGGTGCAACCTTGGGAGGTGATTTGACTCCAACCAGGCAGTTGCCTTAAGTGAAGAGATGGAAATAATAATGCTCCTTCCCTGATTTTGATGGAAAAACACGATAATGGAAAGCTTGATGACTGGGAACTCTCGCTGACCCCCTACAAATGGCCTGCAGTGCTGGCCCCAGCCGTGCACCCAGGCCACCGAGGTTCTCAGGCCACCAAGATTCCCAGGCCACCAAGGTTCTCAGGCCACCGAGGTTCCCAGGCCACCAAGGTTCTCAGGCCACCAAGGTTCCCAGGCCACCAAGGTTCTCATCTCTGCTTGGCCCTGGGCACCAGCAGGGCCATGCACTGAGCCATCTCCAGCCCACAGGCAAGCCAGTGGGAGCATCGGGCGTCAGGGAGCAGCTGTGCCCAGGTGAGAGGTGCATGGGTCCGACTCAGGCTGGGGCACAGCCTCGGCGGCTCCCAGGGACTTTTTGGGTCCTGATGGCCCTGATTGCCCCAGCACTGCCTCCACAGCCCACCCCACCCGCCGGGGCCTCGTGTCCCTCCAGCCTCCGAGTTACCTGTGGTCTGAGCCACCTTGACCAGGCCTCTGCGGAAAATGCTCTTCAGCCGCGGCTTCATGTTGAAGTTCTTGGCCCCCCCGGTCACCGAGATCAAGAGATTGGGGACGTCCAGCCCCCAGTGCTGGGTCATGAGGTGGTAGATCACGCTGGAGGGCGTGTCCTGGGAGACTCGGACGTACTGCGGGAAAGGGAAAACGGCGGAGGGAACCTGTGTGTCAGTGGTCAGGGACAGCACCGACCCACACAGGCCATGCAGAGAGGCCCCAGCGGGCGGCAGACACCGCACACCTTTCCGGCTCAGACCCAGAAAAGGGGTCCCCATGTGGGCAGGGCACAGATCACGAGAGAAGAGGGAGGCAGAGAGGCCCAAGCCAGGAGCATCAGGCCATCCTTTGGGGACCAGGATCGCCCTCAGCAAACCTCCCCCAGCCCTCGTGCCCCCACGGCACCCACTTTTTCCTCTTCCTCTCGATTTTGGGAGCGCCTCCCAAACATGCGCCAGCACAGACTCCAATTCCCGCCGTAGCGCCTGGGCCCTGCCTCCCCCGGGTCTAATCAGCTCCTGCACCGGGGTCTCTGCCCTTCTGTCCTTGTGCACCCAGCACTGCCCCCTCTCCTGTCCCCTCTCCTGTCCCCTCTCCTGTCCCCTCTCCTGTCCCCTCTCCTGTCCCCTCTGCCCTATCCCCTCTGCTCTGTGGCCCCTGTGCCCTGGCCCGTCCTGGGGACTCAGTGGGCCCAGCTTCCTCTGCCTCCCGTCTGAACACGGCTCTCCCAGGTTCTGTCGTCACTCTGGCCCCCCGTCCTCCAGGAGACCCTCCCAAGTACACAGCGGACTTTCCCTGTTCCGCTAGGCGGGCTGTGTCTGAAGAGACCCAGCGGGGTCTGCAATCTCCGCCGGGATTGGCCTAGCAGAGACACAAAGGTGATGGGTGAAATCCAGAAATGCCATTAGGTGCCCTCAAAACAACCATGTGGTGGCATTGTCACTAAAGAAGGTCCAGTTAACCCACAAGCACAGTGCCTGTCACCATCAGAACGTGGGTCCCACCGGGTCCACCAGGCATCTGGAGGTGCTGGTCTCCCTGGGAGGAGCAGGGCTGTGGCCTGCATGGTGGACGCTCCCGGGCTTCGAGGCAGACCTGCTGCAGTACAGGGTCTGTGTCCCTGGCGTCCCTCACTGTCAGGCCACAGGCATTTCTCCCTCACACCACCGGCCCCTGTCGGCAGCTGCAGGGAGGGGGCTGGGAGAAGCCGGGGGGTTGGGGGAGGGATGCAGCCAGACCCCAGGCTCAGACACAGCTGGATTCAAACCCACCACTGCCACGGCCACGGTGGCATCAGACAAAGGGTAGGTAGGGCCTCCCCATACCTCAATCCCTCATCTGAAACCCAACAACAGGACTGTCCCCGTGACCACAGCGACAGAGGGGTCCAGGGGCCTGGAGAACACCCACGTGTCATGGTGACACAGGGTGGCTCAGGGGCTGTGCCAGCCAGGAAGCCTGGGGCCACATGACCCCGTCTCCGGGACCTGCCCCACTCAACCTCTTTGGCCACCTCATGGCAACACCATGCATTGAGTGGACAGGTCACACTCGACAGGTACCAAGTTCAGGGCTCCAGACGCCAGCACAGAGATCAGTGCCACCCTCCCCACCTCCAGGACAGTGGCACCCAATCACTGTCTCAGAACCCTCCAGAAGGCTGGTCAACACTCAAGTCTCAGAACCCTCCAGAAGGCTGGTCAACATGCAAGTCTCAGAACCCTCCAGAAGGCTGGTCAACACGCAAGTCTCAGAACCTCCAGAAGGCTGGTCAACACACAAGTCTCAGAACCCTCCAGAAGGCTGGTCAACACGCGAGTCTCAGAACCCTCCAGAAGGCTGGTCAACACGCGAGTCTCAGAACCCTCCAAAAGGCTGGTCAACACGCGAGTCTCAGAACCCTCCAGAAGGCTGGTCAACATGCAAGGGGCTGAGCCTCTGACTCCACAGGCCTGGGATGGGGCCTGAGAATTGGTCAGAGATGGCTGGTCCAGGGACCTCAGTGAGGTTGTGCACGAGAGAACCTAACCCTGCACCTGGGCCTCCCTCCAGCAGTCTGCACCCTCACAGCGCTCTCCTGCAGGCCAGGCTCAGCCTGGATCCCGCCATGCCTGGCCCAGACTCCTCGCAAGGACTCTCGCGTTTGCTTCCAGACTTGCCACATGGGCCTCCCTGCTATCCTGGGCCCCTTCCCCCAGCTTTTCCCTCCCTCCCCACACCCTTCCTACCATTCTCCCAGCACACCCTGAGCGCATCTGTGTCCTGCATCCCTCTCCTTCCTCCCTACTCCCTCCCAGGCCCTGACAAATGCCGCCCAAGGACACCCAGCCAGAATTCACTCACCACTCCCAGCTTGCACCTTCCTAGAAAGCTCACTGTGCCCCACCCTGCTTTGCAGATGGCCAAGCACTCTGAGAGTGGGGTGCATGTCTTGCTTGCCTTGCAGAGCCCCTCCCCGCCGCTTCCCTTGCTGTGCAGTGGGCTCTATGCACCCTGGAGCTTTGCCAGCCTCCTGCTCTTGCCCCAGGAAATGCCGACCACCGCGTGTCACTGTGGGGCCATGCAGCTCCACCTACAGTTCAGAGCGAGAGTGATGGAAACCAACCTTTTTCACCTTCTGGCTCAGGCCCGTGAAGACGATGTCGCCAAAGGCATCGGTTGGCATCTCCTGGACATGTTTCTTTGGGTCCCACTGTGTGCCCTGGAAGGTGTGGGGCTTGGTAGCCTCCTCCAAGTGCTGCTCATGCGTGTAGCCACACTGACACACCACCTTCCTGCAAAGACACAGCACCAGTCACCCAGGGAGTGTGGTGCCCTTCCTGCTCCCTGTGAAGGCATCAGAGGAGGCCCAGTGGAAAGCCGCAACCTTCCCCCACCCAGCAAAAACAAAGCACCTGCCCTTCCAGCCATGGGGGAGGCAGCAAAGGCCTAATGGTGGGCTGGAGCTCTTCTCACCCTCAGCAGTAACAAGAAGCCTCCCCAGGAAGTGTCAGTGGATCAGTGGAGGCTACAGGGGGGCTTAGACTTCACCCTTTGTGGGGCAGTGATGGGGGGACCTCCTTCCTTCACCATAGACATGTCAAGAGGACCAGCTAAAACTCAAGATCTTGAGTCTCTTAACATAAAATCTAAACTATCAAGGTTTCAATCAAACATCACTAGTTTTAACAAGAGACAGGAAAATCTCAACCAGGATGAAAAAAGACAGCTAACAGCCACCAACGCCAAGATGACACAGATGTTAGAATTATCTGAAAATGATTTTAAAGCAGCCACATTAGAAATGCTTCAACAAGCAATCATGAACATGCTCAAAACAAATGAAAAAATATAAATTTCCAGTAAAAAAAGAGAAGATATACCAAATGCAAACTTTAGAGCTGAAAAATGCAGTAACTGAAATAAAAAACTCAAAGGATGGACCTAACAGCAGGATGGAGGAGACAGAGGAAAGAACCCAGGAGCAGGAAGATATAACAGTAGAAATTGCCCAATAAGAACAACAGAGAGAAAACAAACAAACAACAACAAAGAAAAAATACACAAGTAAACAAAACCTCTGGGACCTGCAGCACTATAACAAAAGATCATACATTCATGCTCAGAGTTCCAGAAGGAAAAGAAAAAGACAGTGATCCTGAAAATGTATGTAAAGAAGTCATGGCCAAAATTTCCCATATTTGACAAAAAAGACATAAACCTACACACGCTACAATCTGAGTGAACACCAGACAGGATAAATCCAAAGAGATACATGCCAAGACACACAACAGTTAAACTTCCAAAAACTAAAAACAAATAAAAACTTTTAAAAGCGGCGAGGCGCAGTGGCTCACGCCTATAATCCCAGCCCTTTGGGAAGCTGAGGCAGGTGGATCACAAGGTCAGGAGTTCGAGACCAACATGGCCAACATGGTGAAACCCTGTCTCTACTAAAATCTAAAAAATCAGCTGGGCATGGTGGCAGCAGCCTGTAACCCCAGCCACTCGGGACGCTGAGGCAGGAGACTCGCTTGAACCCAGGAGATGGAAGTTGCAGTGAGCCCAGATGGTGCCACTGCACTCCAGCCTGGGAGACAGTGGGAGACTCCTCAAAAAAAACAAAAAAAACACCTCAGAAAAGACAGGAAGTTTGGACCTTCTTAATTGAAGGAAGGCTAGGGAATTTGTCACGAGCAGACACACCCTAAAAGAATGGCTAAAGGACATTCTCTAAACAGAAAGGAAACAAGAAAAGGAATTTTGAAATATCTGAAAGGAAGAAAGAATAACAAAAAGAGTAACCCCTTGAATTTCATAACTGATGTTTGATGGCTGAAGCAAAAATTATAACACTATCTGACATGGTTTTCTTTCTTTCTTTTTTTTTTTTCTTGAAATGGAATCTCGCTCTGTCACCCAGGCTAGAGTGCAGTGGCGCCGATCTTTGCTCACTGCAAGCTCCGCCTCCCAGGTTCACGCCACTCTCCCACCTCAACCTCCCAAGTAGCTGCGACCACAGGCGGCCATCACCACATCTGGCTTTTTTTTTTTTTTTTTGTATTTTTAGTAGAGACGGGGTTTCACCGTGTTAGCCAGGATGGTCTCCATCTCCTGACCTCGTGATCCGCCCACCTCAGCTTCCCAAAGTGCTGGGATTACAGGCTTAAGCCACCATGCCCGGCCCTCATTTCAATATATGTAGAAGAAATATTTCAAGCAATTATATTATAGATTAAGAAGGGGACAGAGATGTAAAAGGAGATAATGTTTCTATATTTCACTCAAACTGGTAAAATGTCAACATCAGCAGATTGTGATAAGCTGTATTATATAATATACTATCTAGAGCAACCCCTTTAAGAAAAAGTGATACAAGAAGATACACTCAAAAATAGTATGGTGTAAGCAGTGGCTCACGCCTGTAATCCGAACACTTTGGGAGGCCAAGGTGGGCAGATTGCTTGAGCTCAGGAGCTTGAGACCAGCCTGGCCAACATGGCCAAACCTTGTCTCTACCAAAAATACAAAAATTAACCGGGCATGGTGGTGCATGTCTGTAGTCCCAGCTATTCAGGAGACTGAGGTGGGAGGATCACCTGAGCCCAGCGAGGTGGAGGGTGTAATGAGCCGAGATCGTGCCACTGTACTCCAGCCTGGGCAACAGAGTGAGACTCTGTCTCCAAAAAACAAAAATAGTATGAATAATCAAAATAGAATTCTAAAAAATGTTCAAGTAACCCACAAGAAGGCAAAAAAAAAACACAGAACAAACAGAAAACAAAAAATAAAATGGCAGACATAAGCCCTAACATACCAATAATTACACTAAATATAAATTTTCTAAATATGACAATTAAAAAACAGATTGACAGAATGTATTTAAAAAAATAGGACCCAATTATTTGACGTCTACCAAAATCTCACTTGAAGTGTAATGACACAGGCAAGGCGAAAGGGAAAGGAATATTCAGCAGTTAAATAATGTTGACACAACGCCGAGTGTGGTAGCTCACACCTGTAATCCCAGCACTGTGGGAGGCCAAGGCGAGTGGATCATTTGAGGTCAGGAGTTCAAAGCCATCCTGGACAACATGGTGAAGCCCTGTCTCTACTGAAAATACAAAAATTAGCCAGGCGTGGTGGCGCATGCCTGTAGTCCCAGCTACTCCCAGTTGCCGGGAGGCGGAGGTTGCAGTAAGCTGAGATCGTGCCATTGCACTCCAGAGAATGAGACTCCATATCAAAAATAATAATAATAATAATATTGACACAAGCAGCAACTTGGATGGATATCAAGTGCGCTGTGCTGAGGGAAAAAGACACGGGTCATGTAGCGTATGATTCCATTGACGTAACATCCTTGAAATGACACAATGATAGGCATGAAGAAAGACTGGTGGTTGCAGGGATCAGGGATGATGGGGGAGAAGGTGAGCTGACCATACGGAGGAAGTACAGGAAGAGCTCGGTGGAGATGGACAGTGCTGTATCTTGACCACGGTGGTAGTTACACAAATACACATGTGAAAAATGACATAAGGCCAAGAGCGGTGGCTCACACCTGTAATCCCAGCACTTTGGGAGGCCGAGGCAGGCAGATCAGTTGAGGTCCCGAGTCCGAGACCAGCCTGACCAACATGGTGAAACCCCATCTCTACTAAAAATATAAACATTAGCTGGGCGTGGTAGTGCTCACCTGTAGTCCCAGCTACTCAGGAGGCTGAGGCAGGAGAATTGCTTGAACCCAGGAGGCGGAGATTGCAGTGAGCTGGTGTGGTGCCACTGCACTCCAGCCTGGGCAGCAGAGCAAAACTCCATCTCAAAAAAAAAAAAAAAAGACATAAAACTAAACACATGCATTCTACCAGCTTTAATTCCTGGCTTGGGTACTGTACTACAGTTATGCAGAATGTAGCCACAGGGGGAACCGTGGGGCCCTTCTGCAGTATCTTTGGAACTTCTGTACATCTGTAATTATTTCAAAATAAAAAGTTAAAAGCACACACAAATGGAGGCTCCAAGCAGACGACATGGGGCTAGCACCTCGCCCAAGGTCTCCCACCTCCTCCCCTCGCCTGGGGACGGCAGGAGCTGCCCGAGTCGCCAGCCTTCAGGACCTGCTACTCTGCCTCCTCCCCTTCCTCTGGCAAGAATGCGGCAATCTCTTTCTTCAACTGCTAACTTCCCTCTTTTTTCTTTGTGGGTTGAAGTCTTTTTTTGCTTTACTGCAATTCATTGGTGTTTCAGGGCAAGAAGAGATAAATTTATGTGTTCTTTGTAACTTGTTTAATTGGAAATCCACCATATTTTTAGATTCCAATTTTTTGCTGGTAACAAATAACCTAGAAAAGTTCAGATGAGGCTGGGCATGGTGCCTCATGCCTGTAATCCCAGCACTTTGGGAGGCTGAGGTGGGCGGGTCACAACATCAAGAGTTCGAGACCAGCCTGGCTAATATGGTGAAACCCTGTCTCTACTAAAAATACAAAAATTAGCCAGGTGTGATGGTGCACAGCTGTAGTCCCCGCTACTCAGGAGGCTGAGGCAGGAGAATCGCTTGAGCCCGGGAGGTGGAGGTTGCAGTGAGCCAAGATCAGGCCATTGCACTCCAGCCTGGGTGACAGAGCAAGACTCCGTCTCAAAAAAAATATATATATATATACATATATATGTGTATATATATACACAGATGAGACAGGAAAAAAATGGACCAATCAGTGCTCTGTAAAATGGACCAATCAGCGCTCTGTAAAATGGACCAATCAGCAGGACATGGGCGGGGACAAATAAGGGAATTAAAAAAAAACAAACAAAAAAACTCTAAAACCAGATGAAACCTGAACCAGATGGCACAGGGGAAAGACCACTGAGCAGTGAGAAAGGAAACAGGTTTCCCCGCCACGTATTGACTGTGTGATCTCGGATGTTTCTACACTCAGTTTCTCAATCATTAAAATGGAAAAAATAATTCCTCCCGGATGTGCACCCTACAAATCCAAATCCGTACAAACCCCTAAGGTCACGCTCAAGGCACTTCAGACTTGCAGGGATCTTGCGAGCACCTGATGTTGAGAGGTGAAGCCAGCTAGACTTCTGGGTTGGGTGCGGACTTGGAGAACTTTTCTGTCTTACAAGAGGATTGTAAAATGCGCCAATCAGCACACCATAAAATGGACCAATTGGTGCTCTGTAAAATGGACCAATCCGCACACTGTAAAATGGACCAAGCCATGCTCTGTAAAATGGACCAATCAGCACACTGTAAAATGGACCAAGCAGTGCTCTGTAAAATGGACCAATCAGCACACTGTAAAATGGACCAAGCAGTGCTCTGTAAAATGGACCAATCAGCGCTCTGTAAAATGGACCAATCAGCAGGACACGGGCGGGGACAAATAAGGGAATAAAAGCTGGCCACCCCTCCAGCCAGCAGCGGCAAACTGCTCGGGTCCCCTTTCACGCTGAGGAGTCTTTGTTCTTTCGCTCTTCACAATATATCTTGCTGCTGCTCACTCTTTGGGTCCCTGCCATCTTCAAGAGCTGTGACACTCACCGCGAAGGTCCCCGGCTTCACTCTTGAAGTCAGCGAGACCAAGACCCCCGGGAAGGAACCAACTCCGGACACAATGTGACCTCCACTGTTTATGGATGAGAGACCTGGGTCGGAGGTGGGGAAAGGAGTTCCCTAGACAAGGACCTGAGCTCTCCCGTCTTGCTCCAATGCTGCCCCAAATGTCCTTGTATGTTCCTAACAGCCTATCACAAGCTACCTCCTGTCCCTCTTGTCCTTGAACGATCACCTCTGATGAGATTGGAACTTGAACCTGCATGGCGTTTGCAAGCCTGATGTGATGCTGGAAACTGCATTGCGGACACTGATCCAGAAATTACATCGCCGGAGAGCTCGCTCGGAACTCGGCCCAGATAGGCGTAAACGGGACACCACCCCCGGCACCCCACGGGAAATGAGAGCTCTTGGAGGTGTATTCTCTCCAACCTGGGCTCCTTCCTGCCACCCAAGGGGGGCTCCCTGCCTCCCCACCCCCACCGCATGTGCGCGTGAATTCTGAGGCATCCCCTCCAGTCTCTGCGCTCACAGATGAGGATTGGTGGCCCAGGGAAGAGAAGTCATCTGCCCAAGGTCATGAGATCCATGGTGGCAAAATGTGAGCACAAAGGTCTGGACCAGGGTGGCCACAGCAGACACGGAAATGAGACGAGTCTGTGCAGAGCTGAGGAGGGTTACCAGGACGTGGGGCTAAGCAGTGGGATTACCCGGGCGGGTGTCGAGGGGCTCCAGGTCTGGACGAGTGGGGTAGGAAGACCCTACCATGCTTAATGGAAACATGTAAGTGGTATAAATAAATCTGCTTGAAAAGCTGTGTTTGTGGCAGACGATGCTCACCACTCGTTCCGCCCTGGTCTTTCCACAAGAAGGAGGGACATTCCATCCACTCCTCAGGAAGGAACAGCCAGGAACACACCTGGTCCCTCTTCCCATCCTGCTGCAGTGACCACCGTGGTTGGTGAGATGAGAGCGGCTTCTGTGCGGGACAGACTCGGTGCAGCAGATCTCAGGTTGCCTTCTCAGAGGGGCCTGCTTTCAAGGTGGTGTCTGGGAACGGGGCTTTTGGAGCGTCTCTCCGTCCCCTGACTGCTAGGAGTGCTTTGCCGGGCCTGGACTGTTCCTGCAATGGGTTTGTGCTGAACAGCTGCTTTCCTGCTGGGAGTCTGGGATTTGGGTGGTTGCCATGCAGAGGGGCCCACGTGGCCAGCGCAGGATGCACGCCCTGGGCTCTGAGCCTCGAATGGGCTTTGCAGGTGGCCACGTGCTTCTCGGCTAGAGGAAGGAGCATGCATGGCGCCTGCACAGGAGAGCCGCAGCAGCCTGCCCTCAGATTCTCCAGACTCGGCCTGTGTCTTTCTCCCTTGCCAAGCCCATCACGTAGGCCTTCACCATGATAAACCTTAGCTGTGTGCACAGCTGTGAGTCCTAGCAAACCCCTGAGCATGGGGGATGGCTTTGGGGACCTCCAGAAGCAAGTCTGTCCTGCTTACATCTGATCCAGGTCAGCACCCCTTCCTCTCTGGGCCCTGCTGCCCCAAGGGTTTCCACTTCCATGTGAGAAGCACGCAGAGCCGACTGGCAGAGGCCCCAGACCCACGGGGCCTCACCTAGGCTTCTCAGGACACAGCAGGTCAGGGTGTCAGCGGCGTTCAAACCAGAGTGAGTCCCATCTTGAATAGGCGCTGGGTGAAATGAGGCTGAAACCTGCTGGGCTGCCTTCCCAGACGGTTAAGGCATTCTAAGTCACAGGATGAGACAAGAGGTCAGCAGAAGACACAGGTCACAAAGACCCTGCTGATAAAACAGGGTGCAAGACACTGGGTAAAACCCACCAAAACCAAGATGGCGACGAAAGTGGGCTCTGGTTATCCTCGCTGCCCATTACACGCTAATTATAACATATTAACATGTAAGAGACACTCCCACCAGCACCATGACAGTTGGCAGATGCCATGGCAACATCAGAAATACCCTGTATGGTCTGAAAGAAAGAGGAAATCAGTTCTGGGAAATCCCCGCTCCTTTCCCATAAAACTCATGAATAATCCACCCTTGTTAAGCACATGATCCAAAACTACCATAAAAATAGCCAACCAGCCAAGCACGGTGGCTTATGCCTGAAATCCCAGCACTTTGGGAGGCCAAGGCTGGTGGATCACCTGAGGTCAGGAGTTCCAGACCAGCCTGGCCAACATGGTGAATCGCATGAACCTGGGAGACGAAGGTTGCAGCGAGCCAAGATCATGCCATTGCACTCCAGCCTGGGCGACAGAGCGAGACCCCGTCTCAAAAAAAAAAAAAAAAAATAGCCAAGCAGCAGCCCTCAGGGCTGCTCTGCCTATGGAGAAGCCATTCTTTTATTCCTTTACATTGTTAATAACTTGCTTTCACTTTACTCTGTGGACTCGCTCCAAATACTTTCTCGTGTGAGATCCAAGAACCCGCCCTTGGGGTCTGGATCGGGACCCCTTTCCAGTAACAAGGGTGAGCTCCGAGGCTGGAGTACCACTGCTCTACAGACCCCGCTCCTTCCACATGGGGCTCTTCATCACTGTCTCTACATCCAGCCCTCCATGGCCGCGAGTTTTGCATCTGCAGATTCAGCCAAACGCAGACTAAAAATATTCAGGAAAAAAAAAACAATTAAAAATAACATAGCCAGATGCAGTGGCTCACGCCTGTAATCCCAGCACTTTGGGAGGCCGAGGCGGGTGGATCACCTGCCTCGGCCTCCCAAAGTGCTGGGATTACAGGCGTGAGCCACCGCGCCCGGCCCAAAAATACAAATTTTTTAAATGCAGTATAACTATTTTTATAACATCTACATTGTATCAGGTATTATAAGTAATCTAGAGATGATTTAAAGTATGCTGAAGGATGTACATAGTTTATATGCAAATACCACACCATCTCATATCAGTGACTTGATATGAGATTTTGGGACTGATACGAGATATGGGATTTTGGTGTCCGTGGGTGTCCGGGAACAATTCCCCAGGGATGCGGAGGGACAGCTGTTGTATTGGTGACCGTGAAACTCTGATGATGTACCGAGTACACTAGAGGTACCCTGGGGCAACACAGTCTTCTTCTATTTCCCAAGCACAGGATGCTTCTCCCTCCCCATATTCAGTAAATATGAGCTGAAGGCCACTCTCTGGGAATTAACACAACACTCTGCTTTCGTCCCAGCCCCCCAGAAGCTCAGCAGCTAGCAAGAAAGATGAACACAAAGCCACACAGTTACAGCACGACAGCTGGGATCAAAGAGAAACACACGGTGCGGTAGGAGGGAAGCTCACTTCCTGGTAGAGGTTGTATAGTCACGGAAGGCTGCACGGCAGAGGCAGCATCTGCAATAGGCCTTGAGGGATAAGTAGGAGCTCACCAGGCAATGGAGTAAAAGGAGGAAGCGTGTGGCCCATTTGTGGAAGAGCATGAAATGGGTGTTGCTCGGGGAGGGCACACAAACATGAATCAACACTCTGTCCGTGCCTAAAGGGGCGCCAACTGCGGGGAGCACCATCGGCTCCGGAGGGCCATATCCAGCCACTCAGAGACAGTGGCCATGTTGCCTGGGCGGGGGTCTTGGCCACACCTGAGTCGTGGGCTCTGTGGGGAGGAGGGGCAAAGGGGGCTCTGTGGGGCCTGGGGGCAAGTCGGGCCTCTGGCTTTGGCAAGCTGTGCAGGGGGGCAGTCTTCTGGCCATGGACTCTCCCTAAGGCCCTTCCAGTTCCTGGACCCTGGGACTCTCTCTCTTGGGGTGGGGGCAGGTGTGGAAATGAGAGGATTAGAGGATGCATCTGTGTTCACACCACTGGGCCTCGCCGCGCGACAGTGCCCTTATGACCCTGAACAAGTCACCTAAACTCTGCACTTTGGTCCCTGCACCTGCGAGGCAGGATGAGGGTCAACTGTCCCCGACAGGAGGCTTGCAAGGGTTAGGTGGAAATGCTCTGTGGACTCTAAGCCTCGTATGGAGACAGAGGTATCTCCAGTGACCCTTCACTGAGGCCCTGAGGGGTCTTGGCCTGATCAGCTACTCCATGTGGGATCGGAAGGAAGAAGTCAGAGGTCTTACACACAAATCACGTCACTTACCCAGCATCAGACAGTTTGGAACTTTCCACAAAATACACGCATTCTTTCTTCTTGATGTTTTCAGGAATCCACGAACTGAGGCTTTCTTGCTGAAGGTAAAGACAGCACACTGAGATCTTCCAACATTCGAAAGAGCACACCCAGCCCCCTGGAGACACATCTGAGCTCCTTGAGGAGCTTTCACACTATTTGCTTGAAGGAAGGAAGCCTGCGCGACCCTGAGCCAAAGATTAGAAGCACCTTGCCAAGACTCTCCGGTGGGGATTCAGGAGGGAGGAATGAATCTAAGAAATCATTTCCTCTTGGGACCATTTTGAATGTGCGCGCACTTTACAGTTTCTACAGCACCACCACCTTCCTTGGGAACAACATGGTGTGGTGGAAAACGTGGAGGCTGGGGATCTGGGGACCTGGATCTTGCACCATCGGAAAAAGGGCAGCCACCCTCCTGCCTGCCTGGCAAGGGGACTGCAAGATGCCATGTGCTTTCAACATACTTGTGTCTTTGTATCCAGGGCTTTGGGGAAAGCTAGCCCAGGCCCAGGCCCTCCCAATCGGATAAAGGATGTGAAATCATTATGCAACAAGGTAAGCACGGGTAACAGATTTCCAGGACTCTAGCGCAACATTTTTGAGTTAACCCGGTGATTTCCCAATCAGACCAACCATGGGAAATGGTCATGCAACCCACAGAAGACGAGACACGCATCACCCTCCCCAGTTCTGTTCTCCCAAAGGTATGGTTGGGCAGGAGCCCCCAAGGTCAGCAGACCCTTTCCCACCCCCGTCGTCACAGCCTCAAGCTATGACCTGCCCAACGGTGACCTCCGTGGCCACGTGCCAACTGCAGGCTGACCAGCAGAAAGCCTACCTTGTCATTGTTGCCGAAGGGGCACTGTAGCCTCCAGCTCTTGAAGAGGCTGCTGTTGCTGCGCCGGAGATTGGAGACCATCCCCAGGTCAGTGACCCTTCTGGGCAGCCCCTCAAAGCCCTCCTCCTGCTCCGAGCCAGCTTTCCTCAGGGCTGAGGGCTCCATTCTGAGACCCCCACGCCAGCTGCAACCAGGCCTGCTGCCCTCAGGACAGTCCTCTCTCCAGCTCGCTACACTGGGGTTCTAGAGACACATGGGGTGGTTGCTGAAATAGATCAGAGACAGGAAGATGAGGCTGATGTTCTGAGAGGACCTGGCCACATGCTTCCTCATGTGAAGCCCTCATCCGGTTCTCTTCATCAGCCTGCACATGTTCCCAGCTGCCTGAGCTGTGTCCCTTGGCTGGGGCCCCCGGACACTCTGGGGGAGTACATGCACATGCGGGGGTCCCAGCGGCCGTTCATAATGGTAACAACCTCAGGTGACTGCAGGGCCAGAGAAAGAGCTCCCTCCCCCACGGGTGCAGCTGCACTGAGCACCGCACAGGGAAGTCTCCACCGCCAGCACCAGCTGCCAGCGACATGGTTTCGCAACTGTACAATTCTGCACAGCTCCTGCTTCCAGACACCAGTGACTACTTTCATATTCCAAAATTTTTTTAAATAGCCCTCACTGTCCACAAAGGAAGTTTCTTTTTCTTCTTGTTTTTTGAGACGGAGTCCCACTTTGTCGCTCAGGCTGGAGTTCAGTGACGCAGTCTCGGCTCACTGCAACCTCGGTCTCCCTGGTTCAAGTGATTCTCCTGCCTTAGCCTCCCCAGTAGCTGGGATTATGGGCGCCAATCACCACACCCTGCTAATTTTTTTTGTATGTAGTAGCAACAGGGTTTCACCATGTTGGTCAGGTTGGTCTCAAACTCCTGACCTCAGGCGATCCACCAGCCTCCGCTTCCCAAAGTGCTGGTTTTACAGGCGTGAGCCACTGTGCCCAGCCTAGAAAGGAAGTTTTGGGGAGTACCACATCTCTCCACTCCAGGAAAAAGACAATAATTCAAATGAATCTTTTTCTCTCATATCCTTTCCCCCTGGCTCTGATGTGGCCTTCATCACCGAGGCCACAAGAAGCCACCGGATGACTGCCCTCCCTTTACAAATGAGAAACATAAGCATGTTCAAGCCCTGCGGGGCCTCCCTGAGTCCCTGACACCCACAGTGTTCTCATGAGGTCATCCATGGTCATCCCCTGCCACTGCCCCAAAGGTGTCAAGGGGAGGGTTGCTGGGATGCAAAAGATCTGACTGGAATCCCCCCTCATCCCTGCCCTGAAACCAGATCTCTGGCCACGTCCTCTCCACTACACACGACGGTCACTGTCAGACAAGCCTTTGCTCTGCCGTCCCCTCATCACATTAGGTGACTGAGCCCCTCTTCGGGGCCACGCAGCTCGAAGCTCGGTGCCGGGCTCTTGGGGCTGAGCTACGGGCTGCTGTCCTGGGGCGGGCACTCTCAGGCAACCCCACCTCCCCCTCTCCCTCCTCCCCTTTGCCCCTTGGCCACACTCATTCCGAGACCCGTAAACTTCACTGGCAGGATGGCAGGGGTGCCCTGCCCGGCCTTTTCCTGCAGTTCTCAGAGCAGATGTTGTGCCGCATGCCAGTGGGGTCTTTCCAGGGCCATGAGCTGTCCCCGCAGCCACTGGCCCGGCTTCACAACCAGCTTCCGAGGGAAGCAGAGGGGCAGAGATGTCCCCAGTGGCAGGAGGAAGAGGAGGCTCTAGAGAGATCGCAGTGGCACCGCAAGGGGACCCAGACTGCAGGTGGCTCCCCAGGCAGGCGGTCCACCCTGCACGGGATGAGGATGGCTCCACGCTGGAAACGAAGACCCCAGCATCAGACGGGAGGGTCCACGGTGTGGGACTCTCTGCCTTAAGACCAGCATGTTCTGTTCACACGCTCATCTTTCAGGCAGCTGTCCACCTCAGCACAGCCCCTGGGGTCTTGTGCAGGTTCCTCTAATCCCAGAGGCAAGCAGGCCCTGGGAAGCAGGTCAGACCTGCTCCAGCACCACCCGACTTTGCAGGAGGCAGCCAGGAGCCCCTGTGAGCATCTGATGCCCGCTGTGGGGGGGCCAATGGCTCGACCCAGTGCCCAACAGGACGGGTGCCTCAGCCTCAGCCCAGGGGTGCAGAACCCTGAAAACCCAGGCCTGGCAACGACCTTCCAAGGGCCCATCCAGCCCTTTCTGGGGTTCTTCTACCCAAAATTACAGGCTCAATCCCTTTCTCACAAGTCACCTGAGAACAGCTTGGGCCACCCTGGTTCACAGCTAAAATTCTCCACAAGCAACTGGCACAGGTGTGAGTGTTGAGAGCACTCAGGAAATGAGCTTCCAGAAGACAGATGCATGAAGCAGGCCTGAGCAAGGCAAGGCCCCATGTGGGTGGATTTCCAAACCCAAGCCCTGCACAGAGCTATTCCCGGAGAAAGGGGGCAGTGGAGCCCCAGGGAGTGTGGGTTGGGGCAGCATTCCCTACCCTTCAGGGTTAGCCACTGAGCAGCCCCTCCCTCAGCCCCGGGGGTCCCGCATGGCAGGGGTGGCAGCGGGAAGACCACTACCACCATCACCTAGGCCGAATTCAAGAAGACTCGTTGGCACGCGAGCCCAGGACCAGGCGACTCGAGAGGATCCTGGTGTGCCCACCCGCCCCCAGCCAGCCCAGCCCAGCCCAGCAGATTCCCCGGGGAAATGGAAGGTTCTGTCTGGGCAGGGCGGGCCTCTGGCACCAGCAGGACTGGGACAGGCGCGCCCTGCACTCCCTCGGTACACCGTGTGGCCTCCCTGCCCTCTCTGGAGGTTGCTCGGGCATCTTCTGAAATCCCCGCGTGAAAGCCAGCGCTTCGGAGACTGGGCAGGCAGAGGCGGGTGCGGGGACGGAGGAAGTAAGCGCCCCAGAAGCGGGGCCTGCTGTCCCGGCGGACGGGCAGGGGCACGAGGACGGCTGAGTCCCTCATCCCCGGGTCCCCTCGCGCCAGCCGGACAGGGTCGCTCCAGCGGCAAGGCGTCCCGCAGACAGACCGCACCCGGCTCCCAGTCAGCGCCCCGCGCCTCTGCGCACACTGGGTGCTCCAGTCCGCGCCCCGAACCCCACCGGTGCCCCTGCACCAGCGCCCCGAACCCCGCCCGCCCCTGCACCCCACCGCACCCTGCACCAGTGCCCGGAGCCCCTTCGCGCCCCTGCACCCCACCGCGCCCTGCACCAGCGCCTCGAGCCCCACCCGCGCCCCTGCACCCCGCCGTGCCCTGCACCAGCGCCCCGAACCCCGCCTGCGCCCTTGCACCCCACCGCGCCCTGCACCAGCGCCCCGAACCCCGCCTGCGCCCCTGCACCCCACCGCGCCCCTGCATTCCGCCGCGCCCTGCAGCAGCACCGGGGCCGGCCGCCTCGGTCCCCGCACCCCGCACCCCTGCACGCACTCGGCACCCCGATCCGCGCCCTTGCACCCCGCCTCAACCTTCACAAGCTCCCGGGACGGCCGCCTCAGTCCCCGCACCCGGGCTCGCGCCCTCGCCCCGGCCCCGGCGGGCACCTACCTGCTCGGAGCCGCCCGCGCCCCGGCGTCACCCGCGTCCCCGCGCAGCACCGCCGCCCTGGCCCCGCGGGGCCATCCACATCTCGCCCGAGCGTGCGCCGCGTGCCCGGTGCAGTGGAGCCGCCCGCAGCGCTCTGCGTCACTCAGCCCGGAGAGCGTCTCCCGCGCCGCGTCCCGCGCCCGCAGCTAGAGCCAAGGACACGCCAGGGAAGGCTGGGCCCAGACACCCCGCCTGCGAGCCCGCCCTCCCCCAGAGACCTGGAACCGGACCCTCGCGCGGATGTGTGCCTTCGGAGGGTTGGGGGCACGTGTCTCCTTTTAAACCGGCGAGTGCCGCGATTATCTTTAAGCCCTGAATGGCCAACGGGAGCGGGAAAGGCAGGGCAGGAGTCGCAGGGGGACCTGGGCCTGAGTGAGACCCCCCCCACAACGAGACCCAGGACCCCCTTCTCGAAGACCTCTGCAGCCCCCTCCCCCAGCACCCCAGATGTGGCCCCAAGCCAGGGACCATTCCCAGTGAGAGAGGCAGGACCCCAAGGCTGGGGCAGGCTCAGGGCCTGCTCCCTGGATGTGTCACAGTGGAGGGGACAGGAACAGCCAGAAAGATCAAGCCCAGCAGTCCCCATCGCGGCAGGTGCTGGCCACGGGGCCCCATGGATGTCTAACTCCACCCTGTGTGCTGCCCACTCTCTGGCTTGGGGAGGGACGGGGACTGCCCTCTGATGCCTGAGAAGGCGAATGTGCCTTTCCCAAGTGACCCAGACGCCCTTTCACCCCACAAAGCCACACTGTCCGCCCCTTCCTTGCCACCAGCGGGCGATACCCGGCTGCCATTCCTGGGCCCTGCTGGCCTCCATGTCCAGGGAAGTGAAGAGGTCCTGTGGCCTCTGATCTGGGAGGAGGGAGGGTGCCCCCAGACTACTGCCTGACCCGCCACCCTCATTTCCTCCCTGGGTGTGCAGGCCTGCTGCCCAGACTACTGCCCAGAGCACACGCCTCTGGAAGGCCCTCCGCAGATGAGCCAGCCAGCGGTGCTGGCGCGCCCAAGGATGTCCACCATCTCACTAACCCACCATCCTGGTGCCTGCAAAGTGGTGGGAAGGCGGTCATAGCCCCTGGTGTAGGACAGCACTCAGGACACTGTCACCTCTTCAGGACACTGTGCTCTGCACAAGCATGGCCGGAAGCTGCCCTCCAGAGTGGCCAGCACGGTGTCCCCACACACCCGCAGCCGCGCCCTGCTGGACGGTACAGTCCTCCGCCCGGTCCACCCTGCAACTAGACACAGTGTCCCCACACACCCGCAGCTGCGCCCTGCTGGACGGTACAGTCCTCGCCCGGTCCACCCTGCAACTAGATGTGCTCGACGAGCACCCACTGCAGGAGTTGGGTCCTATCACAATCAGCAACACCCCCAGAGAGGTGTCTTAGAGCCCCCTTAACAGACAAAGGAGGTGAAGACGCCCTCCCTTTCACCCGCTCCATGTCAGCAGAGCCCCATCCAGTGCCCCTGCCCTGGGTGCTTTCTGGCTAGAGAGCCATCTCGTTAACTAAAAACATACCGCAAGGCAGTTAATATTTTATAAGACAGTCGTAACTGCAGAGCCATCTGCGAGAGGGGCTGGGCGCTTGTTTCCAAGTATCCCGGGGCCTCTGTGGGAACATCATTTAAGGTGAAGTAGGTACCAAGCTGACCATCTCTGATGAAACAGCCGGGCCCACATCGCCCTGGGAGCGGCTCCTGCCTTTCTAGAGAAGAACCGCACACTGCACGTCTGTCTGCCCGGACGCTGCTGCAGTAGCAATTACACGATATTCTTCCCATAAAAGAGAGGACACGCGACCATAAAACCCGATTGGCAGGTACCAATCTCCATGGAGAGTCCTCTCGAGTTCAGAGGAGAAAGCACTTGGCACAAAGTGTTTCTCACGGTGTGGGCACGAGGCCCAGGTAAAAAGGGCCCTGCTCTGGCAGCAGGAGGAAACCACAACTGGAGAAAAAGGCAGTGACAGGGCCGCAGGCACTGGCACACTCTGGTCCTGAGTGAGGCGCGGGAGCAGGTGACAGGCGGCGGGCTCCTCAGAGGACACTCCAGGAAGGAGGGAGGTCCCAGCTAGAGCAGGAGCAGCAAACTCTCTGCACAGGGCCGCATGGTCGCTGTGGCAGGCTTTGCCGGCCACGTGGTCTCTGTCCCAGCTCCTCGCCTCTGCCCTTGCAGTGGGAAGGCAGCCGTGGGCCATTCGGCTGACCCTGAACGACACGGGTTTCAGCTGCGGGGATCCACTTCTATGCAGATTTTCTTCCGCCTCTGCCACCCCTGAGATGCTAGACCACCCCCTCCTCCTCCCCCTTCTCCTACTCACAGGAAGACGGCAAGGCCTTTATGATGACCTGCTTCTACTTAATGTAAATATATTTTATCTTCGTTATGATTTTCTTAATAACATTTTCTTCTCTCTAGTTCCCTTTATTGTAGGAATACAGTTTATAATACAACATACAAAATATGTGTTGATGCTATCAGTAAGCCTTCCTTCTGGTCAATAGTGAGCTACTCATAGTTAAGTTTTGGAGGAGTCAAAAGTTATGCACAGATTTTCAACTTTAAGGGGTGTTGAAGCCCCCAACTCTTGAGTGGTTCGAGGATCAACTACATAAATGAATCAGTATGTTACGTGGATTGGCTCTGTGCCCCACCCAAATGTCATGTCAAATTGTAATCCCCAGGCCAGGCACAGTGGCTCACACCTGTAATCCCAGCACTTTGGGAGGCCGAGGCAGGCAGATCACTTGAGGTCAGGAGTTCAAGACCAGCCTTGTCCAATGGTGAAACCCCATCTCTACTAAAAATACAAAAATTAGCCAGGCGTGGTGGTGTGCGCCTGTAATCCCAGCTACTCGGAGGCTGAGGTAGGAGAATCACTTGAACCCAGGAGACAGAGGTTGCTGTGAACCGAGATCGTGCCACTGAACTCCAGCCTGGGCAACAGAGCGAGACTCTGTCTCAAAAAAATTGTAATCCACAGTGTGGAAGGTTATTGGATCAAGGAGGCATTTCTCATGAATGATTGAACACCATCCTCTTGGTGCTGTTCCCGTAATAGTGAGTAAGTTCTTGCAAGATCTGGTCGTTTAAGTGTGTGGCACCTGCCCCTGTCTCTCTCTCTTACTCCTGCCATGTGAGACACCTGCCCGCTTTGCCTTCTATCATGATCGGAAGCTTCTGAAGCCTCCCCAGAAGCAGAAGCCACCATGCCTCCTGTACAGCCTGCAGGACCGTAAGCCAGTTAGGCCTCTTTCCTTATAAATTACCCAATCTGAGGGGTTTTTTAATAGCAATGCAAGAATGAACAAATACAGTATAGCTGGGCACTAATATTAATTAAACTTTGCGGACTGGGCACGGTGGCTCACGTCTGTAATCCCAGCACTTTGGGAGGCTGAGGCGGGCAGATTAGTTGAGGCCAGGAGTTTGAAATCAGCCTGGCCAAAATGGTGAAACCCTGTCTCTAATAAAATACAAAAAATTAGCCGAACATGGTGGTGCATGCCTATTGTCACGTGTGTCCGTGTGAAGAGACCATCAAACAGGCTTTGAGTGAGCAACAGGGCTGTTTATTTCACCTGGGTGCAGGTGGGCTGAGTCCGAAAAGAGAGTCAGCAAAGGGAGATAGGGGTGGGGCTGTTTTATAGGATTTGGGTAGGTTGTGGAAAATTACAGTCAAAGGGGGTTGTTCTCTTGCGGGCAGGGGTGGGGGTCACAAGATGCTCAGTGGGGGAGCTTCTGAGCCAGGAGAAGGAATTTCACAAGGTAATGTCATCAGTTAAGGCAGGAATCAAGGTAATGTCATCAGTTAAGGCCATTTTCACTTCTTTTGTGATTCTTCAGTTACTTCCGACCATCTGGATGTATACGTGCAGGTCACAGGGGATATGATGGTTTAGCTTGGGCTCAGAGGCCTGACACCTATAGTCCCACCTACTCAGGAGCCTGAGGCAGGAGAATCACTTAAACCCAGGATGGGGAGGTTGCAGTGACCCAAGATCAGGCCCTTGCACTCCAGCCTGGGTGACAGAGTGAGACTCCATCTCAAAAAGAAAGAAAGAAAGAAAGAAAAACCTTTATTTGCAAACAGATGGCGGGCCCAATCTAGCCAGTGGGCTGCAGTTTGCCGACACCTGGTCTAGAGCAGGGCTTCAGGCTGAGGGAACAGACATGTTTCTTTTCATCTCTGGAGTCCACAGAGTCATCTGCATTCTGGAAATATACAGCAGAACTGTTCTTAAAATGTGAAAGGACAGCGATGGATGCCACGCCAGGGTAAAGACTGCAGCCAGCGTGGCCACTGTAAACTCTCTGTGCCAGGTGCCCTTGCGCCAATGGCTCCCAGAATGGCAATTACGAGAACGGAGCTGGAAATGACCACGAGGCCTGAAGACCTCTCAGGACACTGAAAAAATGTAAATCAACACGTGCTGCCTGTCCCTTCTCCCAGGCCTGGCTCTGACCTGCCACAGGAATCTGAACCATCTGCAGCACCAGCCGGTGGGGAGGTCCTCGGTCAGCAGGGGGTCAGGCAGGCTACCCACCGCACTGGCTCCTGAGACCAAGGGAGAAGATTCGAGTTCCCAAGGGCATCTGGGAGGGGTGTGCTGCACCTGCCACCCGAGGAGTTCCAAAGTTTGCCTCAGGGATGTGGTGTGGAGCCCAGAGCCTCCAGGGTGGACCAGGTTCTGCCCCTGAGTCGTACCAGGTGGGTGGCGAGGCCAGCAACATGGGCAGGGGAGAGGTGGTCACTCCGAGATCATGAAAACTTCAGCTCCGGAACATGTTTGCTGACTCTCCATTTGTCTCCCTCTCCTCCTCTCCCCCTCTCCCTGCCCCCCTCATCCCTCACTCCTTGGGAGGCCATGTTGTGAGAGGCCATGTTGCAGGGAGCGAAGCCTCCCACCGACAGCTTGTGGGGCAGCTAGGAGACCTCAGCCAGGTCCTCAGAGACGGCCCCCCTTTCCCTCCCAGGAGGCTGAGCCCAGCCATGCAGCTCAGCTGCTCCAGATGCCTGAGCCTCAGAAACCGGGAGACAGCGATGTCTATTGTGAGCTGCTAAGTCTGGGGGTGATTTGTTATGCAATGCAGGTGACTAGGGTATCGGCCTGGAGGGGGTCTGGACTGGGGGTGTCACCTATGGGGCGAAGGTGGTGGAGGAAAGAAGAGACAAGGACGGGGCCTGGGGCGCATGGGACTCAGCAGCAGGTGTCATCAGGATAGCGTTTGCATGAGTTGGGGGTGAGCCTGCCCTGCTGAGCCCTGCAGAGCTCCCAGCTGTCAGGGCAGGAGGGAGCAGCGGTTGATCCATGGTACCTTGTCCTCAGCAGTATCCCTAGCTGCAAGCCAGAAACCCCGACCCACTGGCTGAAACCACAAAGCGGGTGTCGGCCCTGTGTGCCTGGTGATGGCGGTGGTGGCCTTGCTTCAAAGACTCGACAGGAAGCTCCTGTGTCCCCCACTCTGCGTGTCTCTGGGAAGCAGGCTCTGTGTGTAGCCCCCTGAGATTTACTGGGGAGCAGCGTGCCTAACTCACCCCCTGTAAGAAGGGAGGCCCAGGGCTGGGCAGGGGGCCAAGGCTGTGACGTAGGTCCAGTGGAGCCTTCGTGAGCCCACCAGAGCTCTGAGGCCCGTGGCCGTCACACTGTGCCCCTGCAAGCACCCACAGCCTGAGCCTGTTGGAAGCTTCCTACCACTGCTGGGGACCAGCTCCAGACTCATTAGCAGTGAACATTCTGCCTGCTTGGTGTAGAAGAGCTCAGAAGGCACTGCTCTGAGACTTTTCTGTCATCCCACATCTTACACCAACCTGAGGACTAAGCTCTGATTTTTTTTTTTTTTTTTTTTGAGGTGGATTCTCGCTCTGTGGCCCAGGCTGGAGTGCAGTGGCGCGATCTCGGCTCACTGCCAAGCTCCGCCCTCCAGGTTCACGCCATTCTCCTGCCTCAGCCTCCCAAGTAGCTGGGACTACAGGTGCCCACCACCACGCCCAGGTAATTTTTTGTATTTTTAGTAGAGACGGGGTTTCACCATGTTAGCCAGGATGGTCTCAATCTCCTGACCTCGTGATCTGCCCGTCTTGGCCTCCCAAAGTGCTGGGATTACAGGTGTGAGTCACCACGCCTGGCCAGCTCTGATTTTTTTTCTTGCCTATATTCCTATCTAAGGGATATGGAGAGTCATGCCCTACAAACCATAAATTCTCATCAGACGGGTTTTATTTAACCCTATATGTCATAACTTACTTTCCAATCTGACTCTGGCATAACATGACAAGGAATAAAATCAAAATATTTTACCCCGAAACATGTTTCCTGCCATATTTTGAGACGCTCCTGCAAAGCCGTCCTTTGTGGGAGAAAATGTGCATCTGGAAGGAATCTCTATTCACATAGCTTGATCTTTTTCTTCCAGGCCCTCCCAATCCTGACGAGATTAACTGAGAGTCTAGCACCTTTTAAAGGTGTGAATAGGAAACATTCGTCATCGATTGTCTCTAAGGGCAGCCATTAAAGACTTCAAAAGAACCTTGGTCCCCACAGTCTTTTTTTTTCTTTTTTTCTGTGCAGTGGCGCAATCTCGGCTCACTGCAAGCTCCGCCTCCCGGGCTCACACCATTCTCCTGCCTCAGCCTCCCGAGTAGCTAGGACTACAGGCGCCCGCCCCCATGCCCAGCTAATTTTTTTGTTTGTTTTTTGTATTTTTAGTAGAGACAGGGTTTCACCGTGTTAGCCAGGATGGTCTCGATCTCCTGACCTCGCGATCCGCCCGCCTCGGCCTCCCAAAGTGCTGGGATTACAGGCGTGAGCCCCCGTGCCCAGCGGTCTCCACAGTCTTTTATCTGAACCTGAGCATTTCCTTTCTATGGATCCCAGGTCTTTAGACAAACTCAACCGTCAACCAGAAAATGTTTAAATTCACCGATAGCCTGGAAGCCCCCACTTTGAGTTGTCCCGCCTTTCTGAATCAAACCAACGTATTTCTTAAATGTATTAGATTGCTGTCTCATGCCTTCCTAAAAAGTAAAAAACCAAGCTGTGCCCCGACCACCTTGGACACATGTTCTCAGGATTTCCTGAGGGCTGCGTCACGGGCCATGGTCATTCATATCTGGCTCAGAATAAATCTCTTAAAATATTTTACAGAGTTTGACTCTTTTTGTCAACACCACGATATAGAAGGTTAAATAAAACCCATCTGATGAGAATTTATGGTTTGTAGGGCATGACTGTCCATGCCCTTTAGGAATTTGGGCAAGATAAAAAAAGAAAAATCAGAGTTTAGTCCTCAATTACTTCAAGGCCGAGAGTGAGTTCTGGCCTTGAAGTAATCTTGTTGGAGACAGAATGAGGTGTCCGGTCCCTTTCAGGAGCTGACCCCTGAAGCTTCCAAGCAAAGAGATGACCAGATAAGTGAGCATGGTGTGTGCTTAACAGGCATCCAGGTAAACTAAATGTGCATAAGGCCTGAGAGCACAGGATGGGAACGGAGTGGAGGTTCACATTCCCAGGCTGTATTTCAAGATGGAAGGTAACACAAGCAGCTTGTCTCAGTTACATCTTCAGACTAGGGTGGAGGAGGAGGAAAGGGGAAAGGGGAAAAAGTTTTAAAACATGGTTTGAGGCTTAGCTGTGTGAAAGGAATATAAAGCTCAAGACCTTAAAATCACTAAGTCAAGGGAAAAGTCAGCTGGAAAATGCATCAGGCAAACCTGCCTCCAATTTTATTCCTAAATAAGATCGCTACAAAGATAAAAAGCTATGAAGCTCCCTCACAATTTGCCCACAAGGAAATTCCTTGTGGGCCTCAAGATCTTTACCCTCAAACAGTTCTGTTGAATTTCACCCTGGAATGTAAACTGATAGCTGATCTTCACAGGTGTGGGACAGGAGGTCATCCCCCTGCTCACCGGAGACACATGCCTATCTGTTTGCTTTCTCTGCCTTATTGTTTATGTAAAAATGCAGATTTACTAAGCTAGACCAAATTGTGTATTCAGTGAAAGGACTCAAAAGAATGCAATCTTTTGTCTCTTATCCACCGATGACCTGGAAGCTGGAAGCCTCCCTCCACCCCCACAACCCCACCCGGCCTTCAAGGTGTCCTGCCTTTCCAGACTGAACTAATGTACATCTTTTTTTTTTTTTTAAGACGGAGTCTCGCTCTTGTTGCGCAGACTGGAGTGCAATGGCACAGTCTCGGCTCACTGCAACCTCTGCCTCCCGGGTTCAAGCGATTCTCCTGCCTCAGCCTCCAAAGTAGTTGGGATTACAGGCGCCCACTGTCAGGCCTCTGAGCCCAAGCTAAGCCACCATGTCCCCTGTGACCTGCACGTACACATCCAGATGGCTGGTTCTCGCCTTAACTGATGACATTCCACCATAAAAGAAGTGAAAATGGCCTGTTCCTGCCTTAACTGATAACATTGTCTTGTGAAATTCCTTCTCCTGGCTCATCCTGGCTCAAAAGCTCCCCTACTGAGCACCTTGTGACTCCCACTCTGCCCGCCAGAGAACAACCCCCCTTTGACTATAATTTTCCTTTATCTACCCAAATCCTATAAAACGGCCCCACCCTTATCTCCCTTCACTGACTCTCTTTTCAGACTCAGCCCACCTGCACCCAGGTGAAATAAACAGCTTGATTGCTCACACAAAGCCTGTTTGGTGGTCTCTTCACATGGACACGAGTGAAACCCACCACCGCGCCCAGCTAATTTTTTGTATTTTTAGTAGAGACAGGGTTTCACTATGTTGGCCAGGCTGGTCTCGAACTCCTGACCTCAGGCCATCCACCTGCCTCAGCCTCCCAAAGTACTGGGATTATAGGCGTGAGCCACCGCGCCCGGCTTAATGTACATCTTATACATATATTTTTTCTTCTTTTTCCATCTTACACATATTGATTGATGTCTCATGTCTCCCTAAAAATGTATGAAAGCAAGCTGTGCCCCAGCCACCCAGGGCACATGTCATCAGGACCTCCTGAGGCTGTGTCATGGGCTTGTCCTTAACCTTGACAAAATAAACTTTCTAAACAGATTGAGTCCTGTCTCAGATATTTTGGATTCACAGCTGCTAAGCTGCTCGGTTACAATTGAAGGCTCATGGGTTAGGGGTTGTTCAAAGGTAGTTTGGTGAACAGGGGGCTAGGGCATGGGGAGTGCTGATTGGTTAGGTGCGAGATGAAATCTAGCTGTCCTTTTGGTCCTTTTGTGCTGCATGGCTTCTGGGTGGGGCCACAGGAGCTGTTGGCAAGACATTTAGCTGGATCCATCCGTGTGAGACATGCAAGAAACCTGCAAAGGTACAATAGTGATGTTACCTGCAGGAGTAATTGGGGAAGTAGCTTATCTTGTGACCTCCAGAATAATGGCTGACGAATGTTTACATCTGCATCTTAGTGGAATTCATGCTCCTCTATCCTTCTAGGCTGGTAGTGTAACCGCCCAATGGGTTCGCCTTGCCCACTGCCTAGACAGAACCGATTTATCAAGGCAACGGAATTGCAATGGAGAAAGAGTAATACACACAGAGCTGGCTGTGCAGGAGAGCAGAGTTTTATTATCACTCAAATCAGTCTCCCCAAGCATTCGGGGATCCGTGTTTTTAAGGATAATTTGGCGGGTATGGGCTCAGAAAGTGGTGAGTGCTGATTGGTCAGGTCGAAGATTAAATCATAGGGGGTCAAAATGAGTTCTGGCTGACTTCTGTCCCTGGGTGGGATCACACACATGGTTGAGCCAGATTATCCGTTTGGGTGGTGTCATCTGCTGCATCTGAATGCAGGGTCTACAAAATATTTCAAGCACTGACCTTAAGTTTTGCAACAGTGATGTTATTCCCAGAAGCAATTTGGGGAGGTTCAGACTCTTGCCGCCAGAGGTTGCATGGCCCCTAAACTGTAATTTTTAATCTCGTAGCTTAATTTGTTAGTCCTACAAAGGCAGACTGGTCCCCAGGCAAGAAGGGTTTTTTTGGGAAAGGGCTATTATCAATTTTGTTTCAGTTTAATCTATAAACTAAATTCCTTCCCAAGGCTAGTCTGGTCTACACCCAGGAATGAACAAAAGCAGCTTAGAGGATAGCAGGAAGATGGGGTGGGTGAGGAGATCTTCCCCTGTCATAATTTCTTCAGTTATGATTTTTGCAAAGGCGGTTTCAGTGGTCTCATTAGCTTTACAAAGGCTGTTTAGTTTTGAGGAAGGGCTGCTATCACTTAAACTATAAATGTCTCCCAAAGTTACCTTTGCTTATCCAGGAATAATTAAGGGCAGTTTTAAGGCCAAAGGCAAGATGGGGGTTGGCCAGATCTCCTTCAAGGCCAACCTTCTCTCACCGATACAATTTTTTGCAAAGGCGGTTTCAGAACGTCAGAACGCCTGTCTTAATGTAACTGTGGCCCATGTAACGATGTTTAGAGGGTCTTATCTGATTTCTAAAAGGTTGAAATGCTTGTAAGGGCTCTGCTGGACCTGCCCGTGCGTCTTTCCTATAAATGCGTCTTTTCTGTAAATGCTGGGAGGGAGGGAGACAAGGAATCAACACAGCCCCAGGGCTGCCCTGGGTTTATTCCAAGAGTTTGAATCGCGTAACTTGGAGCTGTGTAGCGCCCATGCCATCCACGCTAGGCCTGCGCTCAGAGTCAGGCCTAGGCACTCGGCCATGATGCGCGTCGGACCGAGCCCACCCCGCTCGGTTCCTGGGAGCAGCAGTTCAGCCCTCACTGGGCCGACTCGGGGACCGCCACCTGCACCCACCCTCTGCTCGCTGCGCGCTTCCGGGGTCGCGTTAGAATCGCGTCAGAGAAGGGCGCCCCAGGCCGCGCATGAGCAGGAGCAGAGCCAACGTGTCAGCGGCGCCCAAGCGGCCCCAGCGGGCTCGCGTCGCCCCGCTCTCCTCACCGAGCCGCCAATCGGCTCAGGATCCGCCCCTGACGACGCGGGCCCCGCCCCTGGAGACACGCGCCGCGCAGTCGTCACCCGCCCGGGATCAGGAGGCCGGGGGCGCCCGCCGGTCGGGCCTGGGCGGCCGCCATGAAGCTGACGCGGAAGATGGTTCTGACCCGGGCCAAGGCCTCGGAGCTGCACAGCGTGCGCAAGCTCAACTGCTGGTGAGGCGGGGCCTGGCCGCGGCCGCCCCGGGGTGGGGGGAGGAGCCGGGGCGGGGCGAGGGCGGAGCCGGAGGGAGGAGCCGGGGCGGGGAGAGGGCGGAGCCGGAGGGAGGAGCCGGGGCGGGACGAGGGCGGAGCCGGAGGGAGGAGCCGGGGCGGGGAGAGGGCGGAGCCGGGGCGGGGAGAGGGCGGAGCCGGGGCGGGGAGAGGGCGGAGCCGGAGGGAGGAGCCGGGGCGGGACGAGGGCGGAGCCGGAGGGAGGAGCCGGGGCGGGACGAGGGCGGAGCCGGAGGGAGGAGCCGGGGCGGGACGAGGGCGGAGCCGGAGGGAGGAGCCGGGGCGGGGCGGGGCGGGGGCGGAGTGGAAGGGGGGAGGGGCAGGGGCGAGGGCGGCGAAGGAGCCGCGGGTGAGGGAGGGGAGGAGGCCGGGGGTCGGGGTCGCCTGGGCCCCCCCCCATTTCCCGGCCCGCCTTTGCCCCGGGTGCCCTGTGGGCTGGGTCTGTTGTCTGGGGTTGCCAGCAGTCACTGGGACCAAGTCGAATAGGAGAGAGAACTGAGCTTTCCAGGACTGAGTCAGGAAACACGTTGGTAATCAGTACTGGGGGCGGCCGTTCCCAGGGTACTCCTAGCAGGTGACAGGAAGGGACGTGGGTGCGGTGGGACCCAGGCAGGCTGAAAGGCAGGTAATGCTGAGTCTCACTGAGCCAAGGAAGACCAGGAGCTTCCAGAAGAGGGAGCCTGGAGTTGAGGCCTGCAAGATCTCCAGGGTTCCCTGGGGACTCAGCAGAGTGACCGCGCCGTGTCAACTGGCCTCACCGTGCAGGCGGGTGTGGGGGTCAGCGAGAGCAGACGCTTCCTCCCAGGGGTGTCCGCAGACTGCCCAGAGTGAGCTCTTCCCTGTTAATTAAAAAGCTTTTCTCTCTGCCCTGGCATATCTGGTGTTTTGGCTACAATTCCCGTGTCATTTGCTTTCAATAATGCATTTCTTTGTTTTGCATGGGGTGGTCAGTACTCCCACTAAGCTGGGAGAAACAACAACCCTGTTTCAGGCTTTTAAAGTTTGCTTCATAAGTTGCCTGTTCACCCTTTGAACTTGACCTCTTATAAAGACGCCCTTGTTTATGTCTGTCAGTGAGAGAAATGAACCTTCTGCTACTCAGGGACCATGAGGAAGAGTTCATCTTTTTGTGTCTTACAAATGGAGCAACCCTGCTGCTCCTTATCTAAAAAGTACCACCCCAACGTCAAACATACAGTTTAGTTGAAAATCAGCTAAAACAATTGTTTACACCTTTGCCAGTTATCTGGGCAACCTTCCTTTTTTGCCATGCCATTAAAATCCTAGAATCTTAAGGTTTGTAGGGAGTCATCGGTGATTTTTGGAATTTTTGTCTTCAGTGTTTTTTATTCAACTTTAACAAAATTAAAGTATGTATCTTTTCTCTCCCCAGGGGCAGCCGCCTCACAGATGTAAGTATTGCCTCACAGATGTAAGTATTGCACTGATCATCTCCAAATAGCCTCAACCCAAATGTTGTAGCTTCTTTCCCAAGAGAATTTTTAAGTTGACAAAACTGCACCTATCAATTCAGTCCCACACTTGGTACTTTGTTCACTTAGCGGTTTTCATTCTGCAGAACCACTAATGGAAAAACAATTCTCTAGTGCCAGGCTTATTTTGCAGTTCCCGTCAACATCCCTATAAATGAAACACCCTTTGTCACTTGGTCGCAGAGGAGGGGAGCAATAGTTTGGAACTTGCTCTCACCTGGAAAGGAATCCCAGGAGGGCTTGTTTTACTTTGTTACGGGGAAGTTGAAGGTCTACACCCCCTCTTCTTGGTCACATCTAGCCTTGTACCCCCTTGCCGCTGCCCCAAAGGCAGGCAGAGAATAAGCCCTGCTGGGAGAACTTGAGTGTGTGCGTCTGTGAAAGATTTTTTTCTTCTCTCCCTCATTGTCTTTCTCAGTCCAAAATGTCCCCAACTTACACAGGGATCGCATACCAATTGTTTCTTTCTTTTTTTTTTTTTTTTACACGGAGTCTCTCTCTGTTGCCCAGGCTGGAGTACAGTGGCACGATCTTGGCTCACTGCAACCTCTGCCTCCCGGGTTCAAGCAATTTTCCTGCCTCAGCCTTTGAGTAGCTGGGACTACAGGCACCCACCACCATGCCTGGCTAATTTTTGTACTTTTTAGTAGAGATGGAGTTTCACTGTGTCGGCCAGGCTGGTCTCAAACCCCCTGAGTTCAGGTGATCCACCTGCCTCAGCCTCGCAAAGTATTGGAATTACAGGTATGAGCCACCATGTCCAGCGCAATTATTTATCTCTTTATTTTCCTTTGTTTTTTTAATTTGAACTGTACCTTTTCTTAAAGACAAAAAAAAGCCTGGATACGTGGCATCTGGGTGTAATCTGTTTTGTGCTGTAACTGAAATACTGCATGTTTAGCAGTGAATATACAAACGTACCATGTCCATAGACACGAGTCACTTATACATGGGACGCATCTGACCAGGCTGTGAGCTGCTGGTGCCATGCCTGGCGTATGGTGGGCTCTCACATATGTGGGAGCTTTGCAGGTTGTGAGGCTTTGTGGACCACCCCGGGCACCTCACCCCTGAATTGACAGTACCAATGTGATCTGAGATCCAGTCTCAAGCCTGTCTTCCTTTTGGCCTAGACCTGTTATCAAGAAGGGATTTCCATCCTTTCCTTGCTTTCTATCCCTGCGTAGGGGACATTGGGGTCCCCTTACCTGATGTCCTTTGAGGGCATCTAAAGTAATGAATGCTCTGTCTCCACTGCTGGCAGCATCTGACAGCAACGATGCTGTCGTAAAATTTAATAAAGACAGAGTGCGTGCAAGGAGGAGCCTCACATTTCTCCTTCAGTCTGCGGGGCGTCTGGGCTGCAAGGTGGTGTCAGAGGAGAACCTGGCATACTCGTGGGCATTCATCCTGGGCACACTGGCTGAGCAGGGCCGCTCCCCTCAGGCCCTGGGCATTCACCCTGGGCACACTGGCTGAGCAGGGCCGCTCCCCTCAGGCCCTGGGCATTCACCCTGGGCACACTGGCTGAGCAGGGCCGCTCCCCTCAGGCCCTGGGCATTCACCCTGGGCACACTGGCTGAGCAGGGCCGCTCCCCTCAGGCCCTGGGCATTCACCCTGGGCACACTGGCTGAGTAAGGCCGTGCCCCTCAGGCCCCGGAAGTGGGTTGGCCGTGGCTTCGACAGTTCTCTGTGGCTGATGGCAGTGCGGCCGCGATGCCCTGCTGTGCCATGCTTGCTAGTCATGTTCTTTTCCTCCTAGATCTCCATTTGCCAGGAGATGCCCAGCCTGGAGGTGATCACGCTCAGGTACCTCGCTCCTGCTGTCATGCTCAGCCTGGGGCCTGGAAGCCGGGGCAGAGCCTCACGTCCCTCCAGTGGGACCCAGCACTGTGACATAACCTGGAAACCTCCAACACAGACTGAGGGCGGCTTCCAGAAGGGGAGGGGCCGGGACAGCGAGAGCTGGGCCTACCCTGTGGCCCCCATGTTCAGCCCTCCTTCCTCAGAGCCTCACCTGGGCCTCCTGATGGCTCCTGTCCCCTGCCTGCCCTGCTGTACGCCTGCCCACCCTTGGCCTGTGTGCTCCGATAAGCCATTGCTGTGTTCACTGGGCCAGTCGGTGGTGGAGCCCTCCTAAGGATTCACGGTGGCCCGCCCTGGCCGCCCCCACGGTGGCCACATCTGCCCTGGGACCCCCAGAGTCCTGGCCTCTTCTGCCCCCCAGTGCCACCACTGCCTACCAGTTTCTCTGCACCCCATGACCTGTGCCCGTCTTCTGGGGTCACTGCCCTCCCAGCAGACTAAGGGAAGCTTGAATGAACAAATGTTACTGGACTTTCAGGCAGTTGGGGTGTATTTGGGGGCTCTGGGGAAGAGAAGAGCTCCCTTTATCCCTGAATTCCCTCCTGCCTACTGTGGGACCCACGGAGGGAGCAGACGCTCATGGCTCACCACTGCCCACCAGACGCTGGATGGGCGCCTTCTGTGGGTTTCCGCATTTAAAAGCTCACAAGGGTTTAAACCCTGTGGGGAAGGCCCACCCCTCTGGCAGCTCAGAAGTCTCTAGGGCTTGCCCTCTGAGAGTGGGTATTGCAGGCCCCTGGTCCCTGACTGTGACCTACCTTCTTGATCTCACAGGCAGCCACGGGGTAGGCCAGCCCCTGCCCATCCTCCGTAATGCCCTCTGAGGTTGGCATTGCCATGTTGATGCCCGTGCCCAGCCTGCTGCCCGCCATGGGCTGAGGCCAGTCCATCTGGTGTTCAGGCATCCCCAGCGCGGGCACCAGCCTGTCCTGCCCGAGCCTTGCTGAATGAATGAAATGGGCTTGGAGGCATGCTCATGGGTCAAATCTCAGCCCTCCCATCTATTGGCTGGCTAACCTTGGGCGAGGCATGGCCCTCTCTGTGCCTCAGTTTCCTTTCTGTAACATGGAGGTATTACAAGTGCCCACCCCACAGGGAGATGAGGAGGAGATGGAGCCCGAGTCCAGAGGTTGAGCAGGGGTGCGCGTGCCCGCCCAGAGGTTGAGCGGGGGGGGGGGGGGGGTGCGCGTGCCCGCCCAGAGGTTGAGGGGGGGTGCGCGTGCCTGCCGCGGGGCTCGTTTCACTAGTCAGGCGACACAGTGAGGCTGGGATTTCAGGCCTGCCTCCGAAAGGCTTACCTGACAGGGAAACGTGGAGCTTGTGGTTCCCACGGTGGCAGGAAGCTTGGGGCGGGGCTGTGGATCCAGCCCTATCCCTGCCGCTCACTGAGTCACCCAGGGGCCACAGGGCCTCCGAGCATCAGGCCGCTCGTGTGTGGGGCCATTTCTGTCACATCTCGGGAGGGACAGGACCCCAGGGGTGTTGACCGAGCTCAGGTGCGTGGTGCCTGCACGCCTGACTGCACTGGAGCGGAGCAGGAAGCCTCGAGGCCGCGGACGCGGTCGGTACATCACGCTGCTGCCTGTGCCTGAGGCAGACCCCATCCTGGAAAGAGTCCCACAGCCGGAGTTTTGCTCTTGGTAAAATGGGGCGGCCTCATAGCTAGGAGCTGCATGAGACCTGGGAAACCCCGAGTGAAGGGATGGCATGGGGAGGGGGGCTCAGGACGGCAGGCTGCCCATGGGGGCCTGGTGACCGCCCTTCTGAGGCGCCTGCCGGACGCGAGTGCAGCCCTCCAGGCAGGGGGCCCTGGCTCCGCGCCTTTGAGGGCCTGCGGGAGCGGCTCCGCGTGTTCGCTTGTGGAGGGGACGGACCCCACGCTGCAGGGTAAAGCCTGCAGGTCCCCGCTCCAGGCCTGCTGTTTCTCTTCTCTGACGCGTCCACGTTCTGTAGAATGGAAATGAGGCCCATCCCCAGTGTTGCCGCCCTCAAGTGGGGGTTTGGAAGGTCCGTGCTCACTCCCATGTCACGTGGAGCTGGCTCCTAGTTTTTGCCATGAGTTTTTCTGGCCGCTCCCTGCTTTGGGGCAACATGATATGTCCCCTGAGAGGCCTTAATTTTCCTCACCTGTGAAGGAGGGCCACATCCCCCACCTCCCGCACTCTAGCGCCCTGAGGAGCTGATGTGGAGCGTCGGGCCAAGGGGCTGTTGCTGGTGGGGTCCACCCCAGTCCGCCTTTGAGTTCAGGGCCTGGCCTTCCTACAGCTCTCTCCTCGGCCCAGGTCCTGCTGCACGTGACTTGTGACATCCGATTTAGGCTTCTCAGGAGAGGGCAGGGACACAGGTCCCATGAGTGCCTTTTACTGGGGGTGGGGATTGAGAGGTGGCCCTGGGGGCCCTGGCCACGTCCCTCGCTGACTGTGCTGGTCTCCGTGCAGTGTCAACAGCATCTCCACCCTGGAGCCTGTGAGCCGGTGCCAGCGCCTGAGTGAGCTGTACCTGCGGAGGAACCGCATCCCCAGCCTGGCTGAGCTCTTCTACCTGAAGGGGCTGCCGCGTCTGCGGGTGCTGTGGCTGGCCGAGAACCCGTGCTGCGGCACCAGCCCCCACCGCTACCGCATGACCGTGCTGCGCACCCTGCCGCGCCTACAGAAGCTGGACAACCAGGGTAGGTGGCCGCAGCGGAGTCACCGGCCCTCCCAAAACAATCCCTGGAAGGGGATGTCCCCAGCCCTCTTTTCTCTTCTCCTTTTCTGCAAATACCTGGTCTGGCGGGACATAGATGTGTCCTGTGAAGTCTCCTCCAGAGGCTGTTCCCCTGGCTTCTGTGTCTCCTCTTGATCCCGCCACCCGAATGCAGCAGCGCAGCGTAGGGTCCCTCCTGGGACTGACAGTTTGGGTATCCCCCAACGACCGCAGGACCTGGTAGCAAAGCAAAAGGGTTCCTTCTTTTGCTTCTGTGAGTAGCAGCCCTGCTCTGACCATCGCCATGCGCCATGGCGAGCGGGGGCGTCAGTATCTGGCAAGCAGCATCGCACTGGTCCACAGGGACTGGGCAGGCTCCACGGGCCACTGTGAACCTAGGGTGGCGGTGCCATCGCGCCCCTGCCGTGGGGAGGGGCCGTCCCAGCACCGCAGTGCCTGCTGCTGCGCTCCACCTATTGGAGGCACTCGTGCCTCCTCTAGCCAGCGCCAGCACCGACACAGTTTTCCAGGCTGTGGTTTCATGCTGTTTGTTCATCCTTGGCATTCTCAGCACACTAGTGTCTCATCCTTGTCAGGTATACAGACACCACTATTTTCTCCCAGACAATTTTATTGATATTAATAATATAAACTTCAGGGAAATTGATATATGAGAGAAATGGAATAAATTCAATATGGTCTGTTCCTTTTTCTATTGTGTCTTAGTTGAGGTTTTGAGGAGTATTTGCTTCTGGCCAAGGCTGGTGTTGAGATTCCTGAGCAGCCCTCCACCATCTGTTGTGTGTCAGCCTGTGCCAGGCTGGGGATGGGACAGTGAGGAACCGGCTGCTACTCTGGGAGTTGTCCCTGGAGGTGGATACACGTGCATGCATTTCACAAGCAGACTGTGCCTGAAGCCACAGTGAGGACGGGAGCTGCAGTGCATGTGGCCTGCACGTGGGTGAGGCCACTCATGCTGTCTTCTGTCTTTCATCCCAAAGCTGTGACGGAGGAGGAGCTGTCCCGTGCACTGAGTGAGGGAGAGGAGATCACTGCGGCCCCAGAGAGAGAGGGCACAGGCCACGGCGGCCCCAAGCTATGCTGCACACTGAGCTCCCTCAGCTCCGCTGCTGAGACTGGCCGGGACCCGCTGGACAGCGAGGAGGAGGCAACGTGAGGCTGGAGGGCAGCGGGGACTCCGCAGCCCATCCCTGTCCCCCAGGGTCCTCCCACGGGGAGTGAATGGGGCTTCCCGTGAGCTGCGTCTCTGGGAAGTGAGGGACAGGGATTATCCGGGGGGAGTGTCTGTTCTCATCCATATTCTCTGGGAGTGACTCAGTGCCCAGGTAGTGATTTCAGTGGCAGGTCCATGTTTTGCCCAACAGCGGATGTGCCAGGGAGCAGGAGAGGGGGTGAGCCAGGCCCCGTGCCCTGGCACAGAGAAGGCTCACAGCACCAGAGCTCGTGAGGTGCAGGGAGCCCCTGGTGGGGGGGGTGGCCTAGGGCCACAGTGACTGGAATGGTTTGTGGGCACGGCCATCAGTGCCCGTATGGCCTTGGGCCTGGGGGCCGTGGAGGGGCCACAGGGCTGACTCTGCAGTGAGACGCCGGCGCCTCCCAGGGCAGTTGGCAGCGGGTCACGAACGCATTTGACAGAAGCTGGGCACTTCTCTCCTGCTTGGCAGATCACACCCGCTGCTGGTGCCTGTGGTGGGGGCATCGGGATGTGATCTCTGTTAGGCATCTGCCATCCGGCACAGGGCCTGACCCCATGGTCAGGAGCTCTCCCCCGGCATTTGTGTGTTCGGGTGCCCCCCACCCTGCCCCTGAAGCCCTGGGTGGAAGGTGTTACAGCTGGGGAGCCCCAGGGTGCCGGGAGGGCGCCCCACAGGTGAAGTAAGTGCCGGGCTCTCCAGGAGCTGCCATCTGTAGCCCCTGACCTCCCAGGAGTTGCCTCCCTTCTCTTGCCCCCGTGTGCCAGGTGGGATTTGTATGAGCCCCTCCTTTGCTTGGATGCGACCCGCAGACAGGGTTTGCAGAGGCCCCCCCGGTGCCACGAGCCCCCTGACCCTCACACGCCTTTGTCTCCCTCTCAGCAGCGGCGCCCAGGATGAACGTGGCCTGAAGCCGCCTTCCCGGGGCCAGTTTCCTTCCCTCTCAGCCAGGGATGCCTCGAGCAGCCACAGGGGCAGGGTGAGTGGCGGGCCGCTAGGGGCCGCGGCTGCCTCTGCCCACTGCACCCACTGCACAGAAACCGTGGGGAGGGAGCATGGAGCCTCACAGGGCCCCGTGGGGAGGGAGCATGGAGCCTCACAGGGCCTTGAAGAGCTGTGCCCCAGGGGGAGCTGCGTGTGCGGGTCTGTGAATGCGCACACACGTGTAACACGTGCCCCGCACGGAGCCGTCCTGGCCCCTCAGCCTCTCCTGCTGTCCTGGTCTGTGGAATGTGGGCCCGGGCCCTGCTGGGCTGAGGGCAACAGGAGTCACGTGGAAGAGGTGCCACACACGCGTCCACAGGCGGGGCTCCTCTGCTCAGATTCTCCGAGTGTGCCGGTCAGTCACTTGGACGGCCCACACCCCCGGGACCAGTCGCTCCGTGGTGGGGCACCGCTGGCCAGGCCCCAGCCCTTGTGGAGGGAAGCAGCCTCGCCGTGCCGGGTGGGCTTAGTCCGCACCCCTCTGCCCTCAGAACGTCCTGACTGCCATCCTGCTGCTGCTGCGGGAGCTGGATGCAGAGGGGCTGGAGGCCGTGCAGCAGACTGTGGGCAGCCGGCTGCAGGCCCTGCGTGGGGAAGAGGTGCAGGAGCACGCCGAGTGACCGCAGGACCTGAACGCCGCTCCAGCCTCCACGGGGACCCCAGCGTCTTCCCCAGCCCCCGGGAGCTGGAGGGTGGCTGCCATGGCCGCAGCCCCGGCCCCACACAAAAGCCTCCCCGGTTTGCCACATCGGCCGAGGGCAGGAGTGGGTGTTAGGTACTGGCTAACCGGGGCGGTGGAGATGCCTGTCTACACCAGTCCTGTCCCCAGGACTCCCCTTCTGTGGTCTGGAGGTTCTAGGCTGGCCTGGGCTCTTAAAGGGAGGATTTTGCAGGCTGTCCTCCCTAATAAAAGATTTTCCCAAGGTTGATCTGGAGGTGACGTTTCCCAAGGCATGGTTGTGACAGTCTTCCTGAAAGCAAGGGCCGTTTCTCCACAGAATGAGGAGGTCTTCACGGATGGCTTTGCCGATTCCAGCCCTTGGTCCTTGGATAGATTTCTGTTGGGCAAGGGAGACTTCGAGAATGCTGGCACCCATAGCGACATCTGCCCTGAGCTGCTCAGCAGGCAGGCAGCAGCCTCCCGCACCCATGGGAGAGAGTTTTGTTTTCTTGGCCGGGCTGGGCAGGTGCGCCTTCCTTTCTCTCTCCTGTGAAGAACTGCAGGAGGGCCCTCAGCTGTGAGGTTGTGGATGAACAGGCCTGTTCGCCCTGGGGTCCGGGCCTGGCACAGGAAGCAGCTAGACTAGGGGAGTCCTTGGAGCATCTGAGAGGGGTTTTCTTTCCTCTGGGAAGAGTCGCAAGTCTTATGAGGATGCCACAATCTGGGCAGTGACCCGTGGCCCTGGGGACCTTCCTAGTGCCCCCCAAAACCAAGGAAGCATTCACGTGAGATGGGGAGTCAGCCTTCCAGCTGGTGTGTAGGAAAGCCAGGTCCCTGGGCCCTTGTCCCATGTGGGGTTGAGATCCAGATCTCCATGAGATATTCCCATCCTCCGCCGAGCGGTGATGCGTGACCGTGTGTGCAGGCCGCTGTTCTCCCAAGCTCGGGGCCATGCCGTGCCACCGTCACCAGAGCCAGCTGCAGCACTGGGGCAGCCACTGTCGCCGGACTTGGGGAAGCCCAGGGTGAAGACAGTCACTCATCCGTGCAAGCTCTCCAGAAGGGATGCAAGCTCTCCAGAAGGGGTGTGATCTCTGAGCAGTGGGGAGTGGAGTCACCACTCGGGACATAGAGGGTGGACAGTTCAGGCCTGTGTCTGCCTCCTTGGGACTGTGGAGTGGGTGCCCTCAGTAAAGCGCTTTGTTGGAATGGTTGAGGTCGTTTTAAATTGAGTCCCTTCCACTTCCCCCGACATGGGCTGCCGTGGACATGCGGGGCTTACACCAGCGCCCTCCTGCCCCACATCATGCACACCTTGGGTGGGACCTGTGGGGGCAGCTGCCTGCCTTCAGCCCCACGGTTCCCCCTACCCCGTCCCCACCATTGCCGCCTCCTGCCTGTTCCCCTCCCGGCACCTCCTCACCCAATGCACCCAGCCATGGAGGACAGCCAGAAGCACGTCCAGCCCGGGGCACCCCACAGTCCCACTCCACTCCTCCCCAAGTCACCCCAAAAATGGGTTCTCAAGCCGAGCAGCACTGGCATCACACTCTGTCCCATTCACCCAGTTCACAGGAGAGGACCAAGGGCCCAGGAGGTCGCGTCACTCTGCCCGAAATGCCAGAAACGCCAACTCCACGCAGCCAGAAGTGGGCCTGACGCAGGCGCTCGCCACACCACGTCGCCCAGGAGGGAGGCAGCCACTGTCCCGGGCATCAGCCACAGGCGACCACCTGGGTGCAGCAGCTGAGTGGCAGCTGAACAGGTTCTAACACCTCATCAGGCAGGGCAGGCCGAGGGGGTCTACTCAGAACTGAGTCCTGATCCCAGACGGTGTGACACAACGGAGGCCCCCAGAGCATGCCTGTGTGGTTCCCTGGGCCTATGAACCTGTTTCTCTCTTCCTTTGAGACAGAGCTGCAGACCCCGGAGCACTGTCCTTGGACAACTGTCCACTCCTGGGCCTGGCCCCAGGATGGCCCAGCTCAGAATGAACTAGAAGGCCACTAGGTGTGGGCCCCTCCACCCCAGCTCGAGTTAAGCAATCTGGAGGCCTCCGGCACTAGGGCCAACACAGTGAGGGGCTCTTGGGAATATCAAGGTGCCCGAGGGCAAGAGGGTCCCCAGCCCCTTCACCAGGTCCCTAGGCCACCCCACTGGCCTGAGCTCAACCAGGAGACTGCCCAGGGGCCCTCAAAGTGGCCCTTAGGCCCCTCCAAGCCAGGGTCTCCCTTGAGACACCTCCTGTGTCCCAAAACCACATCCCCAGGGTGGCACTGCGGGCAGGAAGCAGCCCTCTTGGGCAAGCACCTCCCACGTTCATGATGCAGAGCGCAGGCTTCGACGCTGAGGTTAACAGGCATCCTGCAAGCAGGGCGTCCACCACCCCGTAGCCGCCTGCAGGACTCAGCCCTAGCCCCTGGTGGGCGCAGCTCTGCGCTGCCTTCTTTTCCCCTCTTGCGTGTCCACCATCAATGTCTCCTGGATACTGGCTCAAGCCAGCCACCAGCCTGCAGGTTGGAGACCCCCACTCAGGCTGAGGTTGGGGAGACAGAGGAGTGAGGCTGTACCCTTCTGCCCCCAGGGGAGGACCAGGAGGGGCTCAGGTCACCCTGGTGGCCCCCAGGGAGTCCTGGAGAGCACCTGTGGCCTCTCAGGGCACATGTCCCTTTGACCTGGCCCAGGCACTGGCCAGAGGGCCCTCCACCCCTGGGGCTGCTGCCCACTGGGCTGGCCGCTCGGTGCTGCTCCCCCCTCTCTCTGAGGAGTTCTGCAGGCTGTGCTCTCCGGAGACCGATGCACCCCACAGTCAGGGTGATTTTATTTCTAGAAAAGGTGACAGGTGCTGCACGTGGGCAGGAGCAGGTCACAGTGAGGCAGGGCCAGGGGCATCCCCCTCTCAACACAACCTAGGCGCCAGCAGCCTACCGGCCAGGTAGAGCAAGGGCTGGCCCATGTAGTGAGCCCAGCATGGGGAGACGCTGAGGGCCCATGGGGCGCCAAAGCCAGGGGGCAGCAGCCTCCAAACACCGACAGCGCCACGTCCCCTGGGCAGGAAGGTGGATGCCCCAGGGCACTCTGTCCTCCTGCTGGAGGGCCTGGCAGGCTGGTCTCAAGACACCAGCCCGAGGGAGGCCTGGCAGGTGGCCAGGGATAGAGGCAGGGGATGGGCTGAGCAGGGACGCAGCCCCCACCTGCCTGCAGGCTCCAGACACAACAGCCCAGGCCCCATCTGAGCCCTGGCGCTGCGCTGGCATGGGTGGGGGCTGGGGAGGGGCGTGGGCATGGCTGGCCTCAGAAGCCCTTGTCCATGCTCAGGGTGCGGCGGGTCACGTGCTCCAGCTCCCCTGACACGTAGGCGGCCATACTGATGCGGTATTGTGCCAGCATCTTCAGCATGAGCCGCAGGCTCAGCCACCACTGCTCCCGTGGCATGCGGTGCCTGTGCAGGACGGGGATGGGAGGATGATGGGGAGTCAGGGGTCAGGGCAGCTCTTCAGCCACGTCCCCAGCCCCCCCACCCCCCCCGACCCTGCAGCCTGTGCATGCCCCTCTGTCTGAACATCTCGGTATCCGTGGAGCTGGGACAGGTCTGGGGTCCCCATCCCTCGGAGGCACAGCACAGAGTCAGCCTCAGCCGCCCTCAAGCGTGCCCACTCCTGGCTACCCGCTGTGCCCCCATGCCCACCCGAAAGGATTGCCCAGTGTTGTGCTCAGAAGACTTGGGCATGGTCCCTGCTCTCCACGGCCTGGCGGGGACCTGGGCATGGGGGCCCAGGAGGCCTTGCGGGGTCAGGGTGCCAGTGGGGCTGGGCCTGGCACACCTGCCTCAGGGAAGGTCTGGGCCACCCCTCAGCCCCACCCGCCTCCACGAGGCTTTGGTGGAACTCACTCGAAATCAGTGTCTTTCTTGAGCTCAGTGACGGGGCTGAAGGCCACCGCCTTCTTCTTCAGGCCGATCACGCAGGCCGAGTCTGGGGCATTGGCGAACACCCGTCCTGCAAACAGAGGCACGTGGCAGCCCTCCATGGTGAGGCCCTGCCCCAGGGAGCCAGGGGAGGGCAAAGTGAGGCCTCGGGTCGCACCCACCACCTACCCTTGCGGTAAACCTCGCGCAGCTTCTCCGACAACCACAGCATGGCCTTCACCCCCAGCTTGGTCCCATAGTTCCGGTCAAAGGGGGTTGGAGCGCCACCCTGGAAACAGGTGAGGCCCGGTTCCCTGGACTCCCCTGGGCTGCCTGGGCCAAGGCCAACGCCAGTGCAGACAGGATCCCCACGGGGAGCCTCCCAGGCAGCTTGTGAACACCCATTCCTTCCAACCCGTGCACCGTTCCCGTCTGTTCCCGATCGAGGACCCTGCCTGCTCTCTCCAGCTCCAAGTCCAGGCCAGAAGCTGCCTCCCGAGGCCGGCAGTCGGCTGCCCCTGGCCA
This sequence comes from Homo sapiens, assembly GCF_000001405.40. NCBI lineage: Eukaryota > Metazoa > Chordata > Mammalia > Primates > Hominidae > Homo > Homo sapiens. The sequence goes on along the minus strand of NC_000021.9, from coordinate 44,325,724 downwards.
AGTCAAGTGACTCCTGGGCCCTGCATCGGCAGCCAGCGGCCCCACCTCGGGCCCCATCACCTCGGGCCCCATGCCCAGCCACCCTGACTCCCCTCCCTGGCTCAGAAAACCCCAGGACGCGGGCTTCCTGCAGGGCCACCATAAGGCAGGGAGCATGCGGGGATCTAGGTGAGGGGTTCGGCGGAAGTGGCCGCGGGAGGCCTGGCAGGGGTGGGGAGCTCGGCTCAGCATGTGAATGCCCTGGCTCGGGCCCCGGCTCCAGCCCCAGCCCCACCCCTTCTTGAAATGAGACCTCACCTAGATACAGGCCTCGGTCCCCTCACTGGGGAAGGGCACACGTGCCCGAGGGCCTGCCGGGAGTGCCCGTGGGTGCCCGTGAGGGCTGGGACCCCTGGGGCCGGGGACAGATGGTGGCAGGAAAGAGGGGCAGGCCTCTCAGAGCCTCACCCCTGCCCCACACCTGCTGCAGGTGGCCCAGGACATTGGTCCTGCAGTCGAAGACGCCCTTGCCCTCTGATGAGTACAGGTTGTACAGGAACTCCGTGGTGTAGTAGTCATGGCACTTCTCGTTCCTGAGAGGGGCAGCAGGGCCTGAGTCGGCGGGAACGAGTTCAGGTCTCCCCCCGATCCTGAGTCCCCGCTGGGCCAGGCCTGGGAGAGGGAGTGGCAGCTCCCAGGAAAGCCGCCCTGGCCCACCCTCTCCAAGGACCCCTCCTGCCTTCTCCTGCCCAGCCGCTCCTCAGCAGCCCCACCCCAGCCCCGAGAGTTGGACGCGCAGCTGTGGCCAGGGACCCACGGCAGCCTCACCGCAGCACCAGGCCCCTCTGAATGTCTGTCTTCATCTTCTCCGTCATGTGCTCCACGTTGACCTGCGGGAGGGGCGGACACGGATGAGCCGGAGGACTGTGGGGAGGGAATTCCAGGCTGACCGGCGATCCGGGGCCAGCAGGAGCACTGGGCTACGCGTCCCACCTGCCCGGGCCCTGCCCTGCGCTGGCCGGCCTGAGTGTCTGGGGCCCAGGCTGGCATGCCGGCAGGTCTGCCGCAGCAGGGGCTGGGCTGGGCTCACCTTTAAGTCGTGGATGTTGAAAGGGTCCTCGAAGACGTAGGCGGCGTCGGCCCCCACAGCAATGCCAGTCACGGTGGCCAGGTAGCCACAGTAACCCCCCATGGTCTCCACGATGAACACACGGCGCTTGGTCCCCGAGGCAGACTGTTTGATGCGGTCACAGCTCTGGGGGACAAGGGGGGGTCGGGGGTCCTCCACGTGCCCACCCTTCCCTGTAGGCCGTCGGCATGGCTACCCTGCAGGGAGCCCTGTGTCTCCAAAGCCAGCCTGGGGCTGACGCACCCAGACAGCCAGCAGCACCAGGCTTGGGCCCACCTCCCACCTGGGCCCCACAGGACCAGGGGTTCTCAACCAGGCGACCCCACCCCCCAGGGCACAGTGGACAGCAGCCTGCACACACACTGGCTGTGAGTGGGCAGGGGTGTCCCTGGCACCCTTGGACAGAGGCCAGGCGCTGCTCTTAGACTACCCAGCACTGGGGCGCAGGGACATTCCCGCCTCAGTCTCCCCATCTGAGCTCATCACAGTAGCGAGGAACAACGCAGGGCCCCCCTGGACCTGGAAGTGGCTATGGCAGGGAGCTGAGCCCCTTCACCCGGGCCTGTGCCCCACAAACCCCAACCCTGGCAGCCCTCCCAGGTGCTCACCACACACTATCCCCTCCAGCAGCCTCCGTAGGCTCAGCCCCACCCCACAAGGGCCTGGGCATGGCAGGCCGGTGTCCAGGAGCCCCGTACCTCCATGGCGGCATTTACAGCAGTGTCGGAGCCCAGGCTGAAGTCGGTGCCAGGGACGTTGTTGCTGATGGTGGCTGGGATGACACACATGACGATGCAGAGCTCCTCGTAGCGCCCGCGAGCCTCCACCAGCTGCAGCACCCCTTCATAGGCCTGCAGCAGTAGGGACGGGGCAGGTCAAGGGCAGCACCGAGGCCAGGGTGGGCCGGGGACAGGCTCTGCCGGCGGCCGCCCAGCCCTGCTCCCTGCTGACCTGTCATGTGCCCCGTGCTGGACGCCAGGACCCACCTGCTCAATCCCCTGGGGCTGGGCCAGGCAGTCAGCCTGGTGTCATCTCAGGATGCCTACCAGGGAAACTGGACTCTAAGGAGGGTCAGGAGTCTCCTCCAACCCACTCTGACCCCAGATCCACTCCATGGAGGGCAAGGGGGAAGGGCTGTCATTTATTCATTATTTAGTGACAGCTTGCCCAGTGCCAGGACACCACGTTCAGCGATGCCGTCCAGCACCTACACCTCTGCCTCCTCCGCCTCCCTTCTTTCTCGTCCTCCAGCTTCCGAGTCCCCTTCCTCCCCTGCCCCTCCCCAGCACTGGGGTTAATCGGAACCTTGTGAAGCTTTCCGGAGAAAGTAAAGAACCCTCCCGAGCCCACACACAGCACTTAAAACCCCAACCCTCTCGGCCCCTGCATCAGCCCAGCTGGCACACGGGTGCCCTCCCGAGCCCACACACAGCACTTAAAACCCCGACCCTCTCGGCCCCTGCATCGGCCCAGCCAGCACACGGGTTTTCAGGATGGGCCCCCTCGGCGGGAGGACACCTTGGGTCTCCTGTGCCCTGGGGCTTTTTCGTCCGTGGGCAGCTCTCACCTCAAACCCACCGACCACCAGCAGGGCGTGAATACCATAGATGCGGATGTTCTCCACAATGGACTCCAGCTGGCCCTTGGGCAGGGTCCTGCAGTCAAAGACACATCCGCATGAACACGCAGCACCCGGGGACGCGTGTCCAGATTGCATCTGATCACAGAAAGGCATTGCCTTGGCCGTTCCCCGAGCCAGTCAGCAGTCGCTGCAATGCCCGGGATGTGGCGCTGTGGCTCCACACGGAGAGGGACACACAGGCCCAGCGTGAGCCGCCTGGGCACCACTCAGCATCACCAGGCACCGGCCAGGCAACCGAGTGAACCCCCCACCCCGCTGGGCTCCCCGTGGGAACCCCTTCCTGCCCGAGGCTTTCTCGCCCAACACTCAGCGGCAGGAGCGGATGCTTCCTCTGGCCCTTGCAGCCACTCAGTGGCTCAGGACTCAGCAACTTCCCCTGTAGTCACACAGGGGGACTGTGCCCACCCCATGCCCACAGAAGGGTCTCAGGCCCTGGGACAAAAGCCATCAGACAGGCCCATAGCCTCAGCCAGAGTGCTGACAGTGCAGGCTGCCTGGCCTGGCCAGGCAGGGACAGACGCTCGCCAGCTTCCTTGCCACGGAGAGCCCACCATGGGCATGGGGCCGCCAGAGCAGCCTGCCCTACACAGCGGAGCTCAGGCCAGGAAGCCCCAGGCAGGAGGCGTGAAGCCTGCTCTGGGCAGACCACCAGCAGGAAGAGGGGCCGAGCCCAGGGCCCCGGGCTGGGTTCCCCTTGCCGCCCCCACCTGCAGGGCCTGGATACTGCGCCCTGGCCCTCCTGCCCCCAGGTACCCGCAGCAGGCAGCTCACCTCTTGGTCCCCAGCATGGAGCCACCACGCCCCAACCAGCCGGCCACGTCGTGCCAGCCTACTTCTTGCACCTGCCAGGAGGAGATGCAGCTTCAGGGGCCAGCCTGAGCCTCTGGCCAATTCCCCCCAGGGGTGGGCCTGTGCCCGGGGGCCAGCCAGTGTTGGGCATCACGCTGCAGGCAGAGCTGAGTACCCAGGCCCGGGTGGGCACCGACACGCGGACCCAGGTCTCAGCCTCCACCTCCAGCAGCCGGCCTTCCACAGGAAATGCCCCAAGTGTGCACACAGAAGGCCCAAGTCCTCACTTGTTTGCCCCGGCCGGACCCACCTGACCCTTGGCTAGGCCTTCGAAGCCATCGTGCACCACGTATACTGTGTGTCCATGGGAGATGCCGGTCCGCACCGCCGAGCGCACGGCCGCATTCATGCCAGCCGCCGGGGCCCCCACATTCAGGATGGCCAGGGAGAAGTTAGACTTCAGAGAGAAGGGGAGATGAGCGTGAGGCACAGCCGGGGAGGGGACCCCCAACCTGCACAGGAGGTCAGCAGGCCGGCAGGTTCTGGAAAAAGGGGCCAGGCCCTGCCAGCAGCCTGGACGCTGCCCAGCACACCGCCCAACTGCCCTGGGAATACGGTATCTGTTCTAATTCCAGAAGATTCTGGTGAAGACCAAAAGAGACACGGTGCAAGCCTGGCCCCCTGGCACGCAGGCAACAGAGGAGGCAGAAGGGGCGAGCACTGTTGTGAAGCCAGGCTTGCGGGCGGGAACACAGGTCAGTGCCCACACAAGGGGCTGGCAGCGGGCGGGAGGGTGGGGGGTGCACAGCCACGAGTAAGGAAGGGGCCCTGGCTATCCTGTTTTCTAGTAGCCACGTTAAGGGAAGGGAAAAGACATGGAGACAGTCCCATCAGGACTACAGTTAATTTAACCTGATGGACCCAAAACCCCACCACATCCATGTGAATCCAGTGACGGCCGCCACCACCTCCCCTCCACCCACCGTGCTGAGGCTCTGAACCTGGCGTGCACCTGTCACGTGCAGCACATCCCACTTGGCAGCAGCCACACCCAAGGGCTCCATAGCCACATGGCCCCACTGGGTCCTGGTACGAGCCAGCCCTGCTGCCCACAAAGCCAGTCACGCCCCTGCCAGGTTCTGGGTTCGTGGAGACCAGGTTGCCCCACCACGGAGGGTAGAGCCCGCTGACTAGCTCTGGGGATAAGCAGGAGGCTGGAGCAGCAGGGACACCCAAAGATGTCCATGGAAGGGAGGACCAGACTCAGGCTGGGCCACGCTGTCTGCCCCGGCCTGCAGCTCCGGCTGTGGCTCAAGGGGCTTGGGAGCCAGGACCTCACTGGCCGTGACTCTCTCTACAGGACCCTCGTCCCCCAGGACTTTAGAAACAAGCCATTTCATCCTTATTTTGGAGAGATCCCATTTCCTGAGGTTTTCAGCTGTTTGGGAACATTTTATTTTCAGAGTTTCACTCTTGCCGCCCGGGCTGGAGTGCAATGGCACGATCTCGGCTCACTGCACCCTCCACCTCCCAAGTTCAAGCTATTCTCCTGCCTCAGCCTCCTGAGTAGCTGTGATTACAGGCATGTGCCACCACCACGCCCAGCTAATTTTTGTATTTTTAGTAGAGACGGAGTTTCACCATGTTGGCCAGGCTGGTCTCGAACTCCTGACCTCAGGTGAACTGGCCACCTCAGCCTTCCAAAGTGCTGGGATTACAGGTGTGAGCCTGGCCCCGGGGGACATTTTCTACACAATGGCTTCTCCTCTCCTGAGTTAAGCCTGTGGCCTGACTTCATTTCCATCCACCACTGAGAAGCAACAGCCAGCCCTGCAGCCAGGGTCCCAGCACCCGGGACCTGCCAGCCACAGTGGTGCCTGAGCCCAGGCAGAGGTCAGGCCCACCCTCCCAGCTCACAGCTCGGACCCCAGCAGGAGGGAAGGTGGGGGCAGGCAGGCCCAGCCACGGGGCCAGCGTGAAGAGGCTGCAGAATAACTGAGCCCGTTCCTCCCTCTGTGGGCGCCGCTCCCTGCCTCACCTTCTCCTTGGGGGGCTTCTGGTGGGCGAGGAGCTTGTAAATGTTCCAGTTGTTCTCGAAGCTCCTGGAAGGGATTCGGGTCACACCATGCACAGCCCTGCAGCGCCACGGCGTACAGCCACAGCGCAGCCGTGACAGAGCCCAGGAGGCTGGTCACAGGCACACGGCCCGATGGAAGCTCAGCCATGAGGCAGCAGACACCGCGCATGCCAGGCAGGGCACCTTCCACAGAAGGTGCGAGACCCCCAACACAACACGAGGCCACGCCAGCCCGTGCAGCAAAGCACGTGGCCGGCATCCAGCTCAAGGGAGGGTTGGCCACCTTGGTAGCGGGTGGAGGCACGCATGGGAACCCAGACGTCCAATCCAGCCTGACCCGGCCGCCAGGACGCCTGCAGGGGGGTGGTACCCACACCCAACATCTGCCAGCCTTCCCAGCCCCCGCGGGGCCACCCCATGTCCTGGGCTTGTATCCACAGCTTCTCATCCCCTCGCCATGCCCAGATCCCTGTGCACTGGGCCCTGCCCGTGCCACCGCCCAGGGTCTCCTGTGGTACCACACCTCCCAGCCCGCCTCCTGTACCACCCGCAGGCCCCTTCCTCCCTCGATCTTCAGACGCGGTGCCTAGAAGGATGACCCAGGCCAGGCGTGCATAGCGCCACTGCAGCACATGCTGCCTGGCACCGGGACCCAGCCATGTAAGAGTGCAGGGGTCTGCTGAGGGGGCTTACCCACCACGGAGCTGGGTGGCCTCGTCAAACCTCTTGTCATCCATGGCTTTCTGCACTTCCTTGGTCTTAAGGAAGAGAAACAGAACACAGACTATGGAGAGCCTGGCCCGCACACCCATGGCTACTGCCCTGTCTGGTGGGCCTGACGAGGGCAGATCTGGCCGGCATCTCCTGACCCTGGCCCAGGCCTGGCAGCCTCTCCCTAGGAACAGCGGTCACCACCAAGGCCAGCTCTTCTGGGGCTGGCTGAGACCAGGAGGCCCTACCCTGCCCCCAGCTGCCCTCCTCACCTCTCAGCAGCTCCAGCTCCAGGCAGGGCACTCTGCCCCAGTTGCAGGCCTCCAAACCCACCGAGCCAGGGCTGGACCAGCCCCCACACCCGGCCCCCTCGCCTCTGCCTTCCCCGTACCTCCTCTCCTGGGGTCCCTGCTCCAGCCACCCCAGTGTTCCCCATCACCTGCCTGAGCTCCTCCCAGGGCTCTGCTCTGATCACTGGCCCCTCCTCCTCCGTCCCATCGTAACCCCAACTCCCACCACTGCCTACAGAAGCTCAGTGGCCGTGGACCCCTGTGACTTCCCATGCTCACCAGGCTCCCTGCAGCTCCGACACACCTCCTGGGGAACGTCCCAGGTCCCACGTCCCACCCAGGGATGTGCTCACATCCCTCCCCTCCCTGGAGACCTGGGATGCCCTGGGCCAGCCACGAGGCCCTGCCCTCCGGTGCTCACAGTGCTGGGGCCCCCAGAGAGCAGTGGGGCCTGTGAGTGGGGACTGGGGAGAGGGGCCAGGCGGTTCTGATGGGGGGGGCCCAGGGCTTACCATCTGCACGCACTCCATGAGGGGCAGCCGCACTGACTGGTTCCCCGAGAGGGTGACCACGCAGGCCGGCGTGTCAGGCGTGGCTTCCAGCAGCGCCATCACCGCCTCCATGCCCATCTTGCTGCTCTGTGGGGAAGGGTTCAGGCTGGCACACCCACTTGGTCCCTCTACCCCAAGCCACATGCCCATCCTCTGTAGATGTGCAAACCCCAGCTTCCAGAGCCCCCCACGCTGACGGAAGCTTCCAGAACAGGTGGCATCAGAGATGGAAACGTGTCTGACCAGCATTCACGACGGCACACCAGACACCATTTCACAGAGTCCTCGCTGCCCTGCTGGAAGGCCCAGCCTGCACTGCTGGCTGCAGGGTGCCATGCAATGCGACCCACCCACCGTCGCTCGCTGCCATCGCTAGGCGCGCAAGGCAAGGGCGGGAGCCAGGTCCCCAGGGCCCCATCCGCTGCGATGGATCCTCCCGTGGAGGCCCTCATGTCGTGACTTCCCTGGTGTGTGTCCGCACCGGCCAAAGGGCTGGGCAGAGGACACATCCAGGAGCTGCCCCCCAGGGACACACTGCAAAGGCAGGCCCCAGCCCCACCCCGGGAACCGGCCACAGTGGACAAGAAAGCCAGGCCTGCGGTTGCCGTGGCCGTCCCATGACCACCAGTGGCCAGCCCTGTAGAAGCCCAGCAGCTGGACCCCCGGGGCCACAGACAGCCCTCCGTGTTCCACACAGGTTTTTTCATCTTGCAAGTGAGGCACAGGCGGCACCTTATTCTGGGCAGTCTCTCCAGGACGCTGTTTAGGGAGCAGCCTCGGAGACACCCCCCATGCAGGATGAGGCTCCTTGGAAAAGTGCAGGTTACCACTGCACGTGCTAGGGTCCCCTGGCCCCTTCGCAGCACCCAGTGGGAATACGGGCTCAGGGAGCACAAGAATGCTGACGCTCTGGGTGACAGCCGCGGCTAGGGGCGATCAACTGTCCTTTGTTTCACACCCGGCATCAGGCATCCAAGACACTGGCTGGAAAACCCAGCAGCCTGCAGGCTGGGAGTGCATGGCTGGCCCGGTCACAGCAGCGGCATTTCCATCACCCCAGGCTCAGCAGCGGCTGGCTTGCCCTGATGTCCCCGGCCCCTCAAGAGGCTCTTCAGAGTGAGCCTGAGGCCTCACAGAGGGGACAGCAGCTGCCTGGCTAGGTCGGCGGGGCCCCTCTCTGAGGAAGCCTCCCCTCTATAGAGTGGCCCTCGTCCAGCTGTGTGGGTTCCCTGGGAATGCTCGGCTCAGCACACGAGTCACAGGGCCAGGTGCAGTCACAGGGCTGGGCGCAGTCACCTGGTCTCCCTCAGCACAAGTCCCACCTGTCTGACAGTCTCTGGCCCTGCCTGAGAGGGTGACCACCCTCATACACAGGCATTTTGCCTACCATGGTGCCTTCCTGGCCCCAGACCCACTCCATTTGGCTCCAACTTCATTCCCATTTTGCAGAGGACAAAGTGAGACCCAGCGGTGATCAGGACCAAGGACGGCGAGGCCAGGCCAGACCCCGAATGCTCCCTCCCAGCACCAGCCTCCCAGACTGTGACGCCACAGGCGCCATGGGCACCACCCTCTGCCCACCCAGCCCCTCTCCCAGGGCCTGCCCCTGGCCCTGACTGCTGCCACGTTGGGCTGGCAGAGGGTGGGGGTCAGAACAGCCAGGAGGCACAGGCTGGTGGGGGGCCTCCCATGGTCCCCAGGTCTGAGTTCCCTATACCTGCAGGGGAACGGAGAAGCCAGGCCTCAGTCTCCCCCAGGAGGAGCAACAGCTTGAGGGAACACCCACACACACCCACACTGACACACACCCACACACACTGCCACACACACCCACACGGACCAGACACACACAGACACACCCACAAGGACCACGCGTCCCCCACACATACACCCCCACACACAGACACGGACACTCACCCACAGCCACATGGACACAGTGCACGTGCCATGCTCGCGTGCACACTGCCCACACCCACACCCACACACCACGCTTACCCACGCACGTACGCAGGGCAGGGTGATGGCCACTTACCAGGATCCGGTCGAAGGCAGAGGGCGTCCCTCCCCGCTGCACGTGGCCCAGCACAGTTACACGGGTGTCGAAGCCCAGCCTCTGAACCACCAGCTGCAGGACAGTGGGAAGGACCAGCCCTGAGCCCCAGCCCACACGGCCTAGAGGAGCAGGTGCCCAGTGGCCACCCCCAGGCCCACACGCACGTCCTTCACGTAGCTGGACGAGATGGGCTTCCCGTTGCGGTCAATGGCACCCTCAGCGATGATGATGATGTTCAGTCGGGACCCACGGCTCCGAGTCTGGGTCAAAGACACGACAGGGCTCAGCTGCCAGGCAGGGAAACCTGCCCCGGACACAGCCCCCGGGTGCCAGGAGCCCTCCCTGGGGCCACCATTCCCAACCCACATGGGCCAGGGCACAATCCCCACCCAGCAGGAGGAAAGCAGGCCTGGAGCGCGAGGGCAGAGATGAGGCTGGGCCCACTAGGACGCCCCGCCCTCCTGGAGGCGGTGAACAAGAGGGCTCTGCCCGAAAGCCTGGGAAGGGCAGCAGGGGAGGAAGGGGGCCCTCGGGGCTGGGCCCAGCACACACACAGCTGGGGCTGGGCCCTTGTGTCTGGTGAAGCCTTCCAGGCGGGAAGACGCACAGGGCTGCAGCTCCACGGGGCACAGGGCAGAGGGGCCTGCCCGGGCTAGCCTGGGCCAGGTACCTGGGGCCCCTGTGAGCTTCCATCTGCTCATCCTTATAACCAGGGGCCCCGCATCGCTGGCACCAGCCAGGGCTCCCCGGACACCCTGCACCCTGAAGCCACTGTGGGTCCACACTGGTGCACATAGGACACACCATCCCCTCTGCCAGCCTCAGGCTGCTGCCTCAGCACCACACACCAGCCGCGGCCCAGCTCTCTGGGAACTGAAAGAGCTTTTCGGCCGTCCACTTCAATGACCCAGCCAACATTTGTGGGACTCGCTCTGAGCCACAAGCCCCATGTTTGCCCACCACGGGCCACAATGCCTCCTACAGGGACAGGGTTGGAGCAGCTCAGACAGGGCCCGGGTGTGGTGGGAGTGGAGGGCTACCTGGAGGAGGTGGCGCCAGTGCAGGTGAGGTCAGACACCCGGAAGATGGGCTGCAGGTCCAGCAGGAGAGCTGTGCCACCCTCCCTGCCCCAGTGCACCCTGGGTGGTGGGCAAGGCGGGAACCCGCATGTTACAGGGGGAAACAGACTCTCAGTGAGGGCCTGAGCTGCTCACACAGAGCAGGAAGGAACCAGGTGGGCCGACCTTGCATCCAGGCCACTTCCAGGAGGGCCCAATGTGAGTCACAGACATAAGCTAAGGCCAAGGTCACCACTGGAGCCGGAACCCCCGGGAAGTCCCTGCCCTAGGAGAGCAAGCCCCTCATAGGACCCGCACCTTGGGCCAGCCTCGCCTGTTGGGCTCCATCTCCGCCCGGCCCCTAGGCTCCACTGGGGAAGGTTCTAGAAGCCAGGTCATTACCCACGGCCTCTCCCACTGCCCTCGGCAGCACTGTACAGCCACGCGGAGGTGGAACCAGTGTCCACACAGATGGGAGTGACGCTGCCACCTTCACACGGGGACAGGGATACCGTGTCAGTCCCAAACCCACCCTCTGCCCCCAGGGCTGGTTCCAGTGGTCCTGCCTCAGCCTCAGCGCACAGAGGACAGAGCTAGAGCCACGGGGGCCCCTGGCCTTGCCCTGCATGGTCGGGTGTGGGCGAAGGACAGCCTGAATGGCCCGTGCCTCTGGTCCACCATTGAGCCCCACCCCACCAAGGGGCCGACCTGTCCCAGTTGAGGGGTCTCAGGGTCCACAGGGCAGTGTCAGCCTGTTCTAGGCCAGAGCCCCCAACTCCACCCCAAGGGAACCAGAGGGCGGCATTCCAGGCACCCCCACTCCAGACACACCCCTCCCCACCAGGCACCCCCCCATCCCTCCCAGAGGCGGTCTCGGCCTCCCAGCAGCCTCCCCACCCTCTCCTGCTTCCGGGACCTCCTGTCCACCCTGTGGCTACAGCCACGTTCCGACACATCTTTCCAGCCTAGAACCCACCCCCGGGCCCCGACCGCCCTCAGGGGAAGGCCCTGCTCCCCACTGGCCCAGCTCCTGGCCTCGCCACCCCCACAGCCCTGCCGTCTGGACCTTGCTGGGGCCACTCCCTCACAACCAACCACCTCCCACCGCCCCAGGCTCAGCAGTCCCACCCCAGTAAGCAGCCTCACCAAGCTCCCCACACTGACCACGGGGCTGAGCCTGGGGCGGCGGCAGCCTGAGTGACCCTCTCCGCCTCCTGCCCACTGGGGGCAGGACCACAGGTGCCTCACTGAGGTCAGCCCCGTAGCCCCCCACTCCTTGCGTGTCCCGCCCCCAAGGGGCACCTGCAGCTGCTGATGAACCCATGAGTGATAGATGAGTTGGTCAAGGCTGGTCCCAAAACCCCAGGGGCGCTACCCAGTGCACCAGGACACCTGCGGCCCCCAGCAGGCTGGACGGCACCCACCTCACCCAGCCTCTCACACATGAAGTTCTCCCAGCCGTCCTCGGGTGGAGCCTCGGGGATGAACAGCCAGTCGGCCCCTGAGGCCAGTGCAGATACCAGCGCCAGGTACCTGGAGGAGCGAGCGCCTGCCTGCTCAGGACCCCCACCCAGCCGTTGAGGGGAGCTTCCCTGTACCCAGAGGTCCGACTCTGGGCCACAGCTTCTCTGTCTCTCCCGGCCCCCACCCGGCTCTCTCACACCCATGGCATTAACTGAGCCCTAGAATAAATATGCCACACCTGTCACTGCGGTCCCCAGCAGCACCCGGGCCACCCAGCGGGCCAGGAAGCCCCTCCTCACCCGCAGTGCCGGCCCATCACTTCCAGCACGAAGGTCCTCTGGTGGCTGTGGAGATGGAACAGGAGGATGCATCAGTGCCAGCCACACGGCCCTGCCAGCCCGATTCCCTGCGGGGTGCTCAAGGGACCCAGTGGATGGAGAGGCAGGCAGGGGACAGCCCCTTCTCATGCCCAGGCTCTGAGCTAAAAGATACCTTGGGATCCTTCCAGCCTTTGGGCTGGTTTCGACTGATCTCCTCCCAGGCTGAGGGTCATTTGCCAAGCCCAGGCCTGGCCAGCCCAGGACTTCCTTTGGGGGCGTCACACCCCAGGGCAAGCAGCTGCCCCTCAGAAGGGGCTGCACAAAGGCCCCCCGCGGCCTGGCAGAGTGGGAGTGGAGCCCGCTGTGCGTTCCCCCAGCTGGGGGCTGAGGGCGGCTGGCCTGGATGCTGGGGCTACCAGAGTCCACTGCCCTTGCAGATGGCCGTCACCCTGAGACCACCTCACCACCGTGCGGGGAGGAGGGGCCCTGGGCTGGCCGCCGGCGCCAGCCTCACTCACCTCTGGGCAGTGGTGGTGATGGCATCGATGACCTCCATGATGCGGTGGAGGGCCGAGTCCGTGCCGATGGTCATGTCGGTGCCGCAGAAGTCGTTATCGATGGAGCCCACTAGGCCCGCGATGTTCAGGTGCGAGTAGGTCCGGGCTGTAGTCTCTGAGATCTTACCTGGGCCAGGAGCAGCAGGAGGACCTGGCTGAGGCTCCACTGGCCCCACCACAGGGCCAGAGACCCCTCTCCTGCCACCCCTTCCCCCGCATCCCAGGCGTGCAGCCCGGCAGGGGCCCCGGAGTTCCAGGCTCAGCCTCCTCCTGCCTGGAACCCTGTGGCAGCATGGCTGGATCCGCTGGGGCCAAGTGCAGACGGGGGACCTCTGGGGTGCCTTGCAGAGCGGCCAAGGCCTCACATCAGGGTCCCCCACATGAGGGACATGGAACAGACATGGCTCCGAGAGGCCACTTTCCAAGCAGCAATCTCGGGACTCTGTGTCTTATGTCACCCCAACTTCAACTCTATTTCTGCAGACTGTGACCATGCATGTCCAGAATCTCACTCGGATCAATCACAGAGAAGACTTGTCTACGCAGCGTAGGGTGAGCAACACCGGCCTCCACCAGCCCCATGCACTGCCTGGGTGCCCTCCCTCAGGCTTGAGCACTGACCTCCATCTCTGGGAGACATCTGAGCTCGTGCTGGCAGACACTACTCCTCCCCGGCCAACGGCCAGACAGCCCCTCCTCTGCCTCGGGGCACCCAGGGATCCCTCGTCCCTCTGTCCTGCCCATTCCCACGCCTGGCAGCAGCGGCAAAACAAAACCCCAGGGCCTACAGTGCGCCGGGCACAGACCCACCTTCCGCCACCAGCTCCTCCAGCAGGCTGCCCCACTCGCTGCGGAAGATGTTGGCACCTGTGAGGCTGCCATCCCCGCCGATGACGCACAGGTTGGTGATGCCGTGCTGGACCAGGTTGTAGGCCGCTGCCCGGCGCCCCTCCCTGGTGGTAAAGGCCTTGCAGCGAGCGCTGCCAATGATAGTGCCGCCCTGCACAGAGGAGACCAGAAACTTCAGGAGAGATGGCAGGCGGCAGACAGCCCCTGGGGATCACCAGAGGGACCCCAGGACTGGGCAGCAAGGGGCTGGCAGACCCTGCAGAGTGAGAGGCAGAAGCCCCGGGGTCTCTGGAAACCTGAGGTGGCCCTACCTCCCTGGGCCTCTCTCCTTGGAGAGACAAAGAGGAGGATGATGTCCGTCCGGTCCTGGGCTTGGGAAGCCCCAAGGTAATAGAGTGGAAGGCTTTGGAGACTGGAAAGCACAGTACACACACGCATAGGTTGCCACACACATGTGCGTGCACACGTGCACACACAGGCCCTGTACCAACTCAGGGAACCGGCCAGGGCCTCCAGGGCTCAAGCCTCAGCAGCTCCAGGTGCGCTCACGTGGCCCCTCATAGCCAGCCTCAGCCAGGGCTCCCCCAGGACCCAGCACGGCCACGTCTCCAGGTCCTCCTGGCCCCTGGCAACCCCATGACCCTGCGACCCAACAATTCCATGGCAGCAGATGACAGGGTCGGCCTGAACCTGAGTCCCTGTGCGATGGGGCACGTGTGTGTGTGACTCTGAGTACATATGTCTGTATGTTTCTGTATCTGTGTACCTGTGTGCGCATCTGTGTGTCTACGTGTGTATCTGTGTATTTATGTGTCTGCATGTGTCTATCCATGTGTATCTGTCTCCATGTCTGTGTGCATCTGTGTGTGTCTGTGTGCGCGTCTGTGTGTCTGTGTGCACGTCTGTGTGTCTGTATGTGTGCATGTCTGTGTGTGTCTGTGCACGTGTCTGTGTCTGTGCGCGCCTGTGTGTCCGTGCACGGGTCTGTGTGTGCACGCATCTGTGTGTGTGCACATCTGTGTGTGTGTGCGTCTGTGTGCATGTCTGTGTGTCTGCATGTGTGTGTTTGTGCACGTGTCTGTCTCTGTGTGTGTGTCTGTGTGTGCAGGTCTGTCTCTGTGTGTCTGTCTGCGAGTCCAAGTGCAACATGCATCCGCGTTCCCAGGCCTCACCAGCTGGATGATGTTGGAGACGCTCAGCCAGTTGGCCTGCTTGATGTTCTCACCTCCCTCCACGAGGCCCTCATAGCCCTGAAATCAAGAGTGGGGCAGGCATGAGATAGGGGACCCCATGGCGGCCGGCAGCAAGTGGTCTGGGAGCAGGATTTTCACCCCACCAGCAGAAAGCAGGACCAGGGTGCTGACTGTGAGGCCCCACCATCATCCCAGGGCCTGGGTAACAGGGTCCGGGTGCCCCCTAGGGGGCTCCAGACACCCTCTGCACAGCTGGTGAGTCCGTGTGTCCCGGGGCGTGACTCCTGTGGCAAGTGCTTTGGTGCAGGGGCCTGTCTGAGCTCCCTCACCCCACCCAGATCCACACAGGCAAGTTCAGCGTCCCGAAGGCCCCAGCGGAGCCCGCCATCCAGCTCCTGAGGGTGCATCCTAGGTCTGCCTGTTCTGAACATCCTAGAAATGACACCACAGAGGCTGCTGTGCGTGGCTCCTTCTGTCCCCACTGGAGTCCTCCCAGGCATGCGGCCGGCGGGGTGTGCGGCGCGTGCTCTTGCTGTGTGGCGGCCGTGTGAACAGCCCAGGCTACCATCTGCCCGCCAGAGCGGGAAGCTGAGAACACACACACCTCCCTACAGGCGGGCCCCCACCCGAGGGAGCTCCTGGGTCCAGGGGACCCGAGTGGCCATCGCTCGTAGGGCCGGCAACACCCCAGGCAGGGGCTCCAGGCTCCGCGTCCCGCCACGCCGGCCACACTGGGCCTTCCATCCAGTACCGTGGATCTGCCTCTCATGCGGTTCTACCTGGGATTTCCCAGATGGCACCTGCACAGCCTCCGTGCCACGTGCCCGTTTCCTACTGCACGGCCAGCCCTTTCTTGTTGTTTGAGGGGAGGGACACTCATGACTGCATTTCACTAAGGGTGTGGAGAGGAGAAGGGCGGCCTCCTCCGTGCAGCCCCGGTCCCTCCATGGCATCAGCAGCCTTCTCCAGGCCGTGAGGTGAGGCAGTGGAGCAGCCATTCCTCGGCCAGGGCGGATGCCAGCTCAGCTGTGGGCTTCTGCTCCTCCCTCCGCCTTCTCCCCAACCAGGTGTCAGGGCCCTGGGGGCCAGGAGGGCAAGTGCCTCAAGCAGGCAGGGGGTCAAGGGATAGTGCGCGCTGCGGGGCGCATGAACATCCCCACTCTGGCCATGGCGGGCTTCTAGCCTGACAGCCTCCCTTCCCCACCAGCTGGGCTGGGGGACAGGTGCCCCTGCCCCATCTCAGGGGCTGATCTGAGGGACCACAGAGCTACTTCCTCCGGCTCAGGCCAGGCCAGCCTGGCCCCCTCTGGTTGTACCAGCCCTGAGCTAGGAACAAGGAAAACAGGAAAATGATCCCAAACCCACAGCCCCACCTGAGCAGGAGGCCACCAAACACAGGTCTGTCTGCAAAACTCAGGATCCAATACAGAGCCCAGGCGCCAGCCAGGCCCCTGCCCCACTGGGCGGAGGGGCAGGCAGGTATGGCCAGCCCAGCAGTCCCCAGAGACCCCACAAGGCCAGTGGCTCAGTTCTGCTGGAATCAGTCTCACAGACACAACCTCCTCCTACCCTTGGAATCTTCTAGAAGCTGTTTGCCCCCCTCTACCCACTCTGTTTCCGTCTCTGTCCTCCTAGGCCCAGCTCACCTTCCCCTCCTTCCCCTCTAGCCCCGCCCCCTCCTCTCACCCCTGCAGGCCTGGACCCAGGCTCAGGGCCCTCCCTGCTATGCTGTGGGCTCTGCCTGGGGGGATAAGAGTAGCCTGTTCTGAGCCCTCCTTTGTGTCAGAACTGAGAAGGGTTTTCACCTCCAAGGCCACCCTCCCTTTCTGCCCTAACAATAGCCCCAAGGAGAAGGGATCGGTCTCCCTGCTGAAGGAAGCCAGCGCTGGGGGCTCAGAAACCCAAAATGCAGTCTGATGTGAACTGACGCAGCCGCAGGTCTCCCTGACCTCCCCCTTCTGCCTCTCGACCCTCTGCCTCCTCCAAGCTCAGGATGCAGCTGCTCCCTGAAGCCCCCGAATCTGCCTAAAGCCCATAGCTGCTGGAGAAAGGAACAGTGACGGCCAGTCCCCTCCCTGAGTTTCCATGCACTGAGGTCATCGTAGGAAGAAAGACCTGTGTCTGCCAACACACTTGGGCAGGTGGTCACCAGGGCTAACAGATGCTGTCCAAGCCCATTGAATCCCCTAAAAACCATTCATGGCCGTGCACAGTGGCTCGCGCCTGTAATCCCAGCACTTTGGGAAGCAGAGGCGGGTGGATCACCAGAGGCCAGGAGTTCGAGACCAGGCTGGCCAACATGGTGAAACCCCGTCTCTACTAAAAATACAAAAAACAGCTGGGCGTGGTGGTGGGTGCCTGTAATCCCAGCTACTCAGGAGGCTGAGGCAGGAAAATTGCTTGAACCTGGGAGGCAGAGGTTGCAGCGAGCCAAGATTGTGCCACTGCGCTCCAGCCTGGGCAACAGAATGAGACTCTGTCTCAAAAAAAAAAAAAAAAAAAATTCCTACCCCCCTAGAATCATCCAGGCTGCCCATGCCCCTTTCCCTGGGAGGAGGGCAGGTCAGCATCTTCGCCCTACCTCTCCATGCCTATTCACAATGAATGCCAGCACCTCTGCCCTATTAATCCGCTTTTCGCAAGTGGATTCTTCCAAGAACCTTCATGGGACGGAGGGGAAGTCTTCCCTGGGCCGCTATATCAGAATGTCTCATCTCAAAATCTGCCTCTTAGATGTGGATGTTTCTGAGCTAAAGCCCACTAGGCAGCAGATTCAGGGAAGCTCTCAGCCTTGCCTCCCTTTGAGAGGAAAGCAGCACACAGCATCCCAAGACTAAGGCTCCTCCTGTTACCGCCTGGACAGGATGTAAATGCCCCTCACAGCCCTCAGGACCCAGAGACAGCCCCAGGACCCGCGCCCACCCACTTCATTCTTTTTCCCATAAACTCACCCTCCTGCATTCCCCCACCTCCGAGGGCCTCACGCTGCGTCCCTGTACCCCTCGGCTTCTCCATGTGCACTGGTCTCTGCTGGGCTCTGCAGAAGCCAGGACTCTAGGCACGGCAAAGTGCCTCTTCTCCCCTTTTCCAGGACACGCCCTGCACCGATGAACCTGTTTTCTGTCTTTTGCCACAGGAGTCTTTCCCAACCACAAATGTGTGGGGGTTCCGGAAAACCCTAATTTCTCCCCTTTGCCACTTAGAAGAAGAAACTGAAGGTCGAGCAGGTGGCAGGAGGGGTTTGTACGGACACAGCCCAGCCTGCCTAGAGAGGCCCCCACACCCAGCTCCCCAGGGCTCTGAGACCTGCTTCCTAATCCAATACTGGCAGGGCCCCAGCCTGGCCACAGGGAGAGGACGGGCCAGCACAGACTGCCCACTCACTCATTCATTCACACAGTCCTGCAGAGGGAGGGCTGGACAGGCTGCTGTTCCCTGGGGCCAAGATGGGGGAACTGAGACCCAGGGCGGTGAGTGGTCAGCAGCGAGCAGTGAGCAGTGAGGGGGGTGGGGCTGAGTGCCTGGGGCTGCAGAGCTGGGGTTGCTACATTTTATATAAACAGCTACATATTACATAAAAAGTGGCAACAAAATAACAAAAGACCTTGTCTTGTGGAATGTGGAAAACCACCTGACAAGGCAAGAATGCAGCCTGTGAGTGCGTGGTGTGGCCCAAGTGTGTGAATGCGCCTGTGTGTGCACATGTGTGAGCGCAAGTGTGGGTGTGTAAATACCCAGGACGGAGGGCGAGCCCCAAATCTCCCACGGGGACTGGGGCTGAGGCAGTAGGGCATCCGCTGCTCCTGCGGGGACACAATGAACATAGACACAGCAGAGCTGCTGCCAGCGGCTGCCCCCCGGGTCTGGGTGGTGAGGCAGGAGGCTGGGGAGGACAAGGGCAGAGGCGGTGAGGTCCCTGGCCCCCACTCACAGAGGCCTCGGGGCGGGACAAGGGCCAGGCTGGGGGACACCAGGCAGGGGTGTGGTGGGTGGGGCCTGGCCCGTCAGCGATCACTGTAGGCAGGGCCTCGACTCCTTGTCCACCCAGCTCCTTCCCTGCCCCCAGGCCCGTGCTCTGCAGCCTCTGAGCCTCCAGCCGGGCTGAGTCCCAAGGCAGTAGGTCTTCTTTCTGCAGATGCCTTTGGCCTGGCCCCAAGCTCCCCCTCACACTCCCCAAGACCACATACCCATCAGCTCCTCCAGGCCAGGACCACCCCGTCTCCCAGTGTGACCCACACAGAACACACCTCGGCATGCGCCTCAGGAGGTCCCCACTCCCTGCACACACACAGCCCACCTTGGCCTTACCTCGTAGATGAGGAAGACTTTGGCACCCACATAAATGCCCATGCGCGTCACAGCCCGGACAGCAGCGTTCATGCCTGTGGAGGTCAGGGCAAACCTGTCAGTCCCACGCTGAGAAGCAAGGCCCTGGACACCCTCCCCATCTCAGAGGACAGGGGGTAGGGGAGGCCTGGACACCCTGTCCATCTCAGAGGGCGGGTGGTGGGGGAAGGCCCTGGTCACCCTCCTCATCTCAAGAGGGCAAGGGTCAGGGAAGGCCCGGACGCCCTCCCCATCTCAGAGGGCAGGGGGTAGGGAAGGCCTGGTCACCCTCCCCATCTCAGGAGGCACCAGGCCAGGAAACTTGAGGACCAGCCCTGGGCCCCCGGGTGGAGGCTCGGGTGAACCCAGCAGGCTCTAGGCTTCAGCTTCCGAGCACCTGGAGTATGGTGCCCAGAGATAAACTGGGAACATCCCATGCAGAGCATGGCAATCAGGCATGTGTGGGTGTCCCGAACTCCACACCCCGCCGCCCCAACCTCTGCCACGGAGCCCCCACACTCACAGGCCACGGGGCCAGGCCTTGACCACAGAGCAGGATAAAAAGTGGGGCAGGTGGAAAAGAGGCCGGCACCTCCCACACCGGCCCCACCCCAGACATTCAGGCTGCGGCGTGGGGATGGAGAAGCCGGGGAGCACCTCTGGGCACTGAGGAAAGCACCTGCTGGAAGGGGCTTGGGCTCCTTCCTCCGCAATGAGATGGGGGACTGAGAACAGAGCCCCTCCGGCCTCAGCCACCCAGGGAACAGCACTGCCCTGCCCCAGGGCCTCAGGGACCCTCACCCCCCAGCCTGGACATGATGCTGGTGCCACCAGGCTCTGAGGTCACTTCCTCTTTCCTGTCCCCTTGCCCTCGGCTCCCAGGACTGCAGTGAAAGAAACAGTCTGTCCCAGCGGGGGCCTTGGCAAAGCCAGTTTCCTGGAGAGGGACATTAACGGGGGAGGCGGCACTCAGGAAACGCTGGTGCTAATGTACCCCACACCTTCTTCCCGAGAGCCCCCATCTCAAAAGATATCCATGACTTCATACAAAAGGGGCAGCCAAGACCACCTAATCTTCAGAGAGGAGGAAACCCACGCCAGCGGCCAGGGTCCCCTTCTGAGTGAGGTCTGGGGCCGTGTAACAGGCCTGAGTTTGTGCTTGCCCCTGGGACCAGCCCTGCTCTTCCTGCCTCCCTCCCAGCACCCATACCATGCCATCCATCCCTAAGCCATGCGGGTCCTCTGTCCCCAAGCCTCGTGCCCCTCAAAAGCCCCTGCCCTCCCACCCCCCTGTACTTGCAGAGGCTGGAGGTGCTGACCTGCTGGGGGCTCCTGCTCAAGCCTCGGCAGCTCCCTTGAACATGGAGACCCCCACGAGAGGACTCTCGACCTCTACCCTGGTTACACATGCTTCTCATCCGCTCTCCAGCTTGGCGTGGGGCTCAGCAGCAGGGAGCAGGTGTGAGGTGAGGTGCCACGCCTTGAGAAACCCCAGGGATCGGCACACTGTTCTCACGTAGCAGCCAGAGTATCTGCCACCATCCCCACACTACAGGAATCCAATGAGATCCCAGAGGGAGGGTGAGGGACCTTCCAGAGCCCAGCAGGTGGCAGCAGAGCCAGGACTCACCCAGACCCACCCTCAGGTTCAGTAGGTGGCCCTCTCCCCACCCAGCAGCCAGGGGATCCAACAGGGGGGCCAGAGCCAAGCCCGGCAGCCATCCAGAAGAAGGGGCACAGACGTTAGAATGGGCAGAGCACAGAGCGTGCAGGGAGCTGGAGCTGCCCACACTGGCAGCTTCTCCACTTGAGCAAGCAACGCCGTCTCTAAAGGAACAGTGCCTCCCTCACATCCCCACATAGATGGGAGCACGGCTGCTACAGCTGAAACTGGGGCGGGAACCCAGCAAGCATCCCACACACACCCAGAAAGCCAAGCCCCCCAGACAGACAGACAAGCTCCCCCAGAAAGACAGCCGAGCCCCCCAGACAGCCGAGCCCCCCGCAGACAGCCAAGCCCCCCGAGACAGACAGCCGAGCCCCCCCCAGACAGCTGAGCCACCCCAAGCACCCGACAACCAAAAACAGTCAGCAGAGCCAAGTCCTGCTGCCTGAGGCTGGGCGTCCAAGGTGGTGCTGTGAGTGCAGCGCCCTGTCCCCCACCCTCACTGGAGTTGGGGGCAGTGAGGGAGATCCACTCAGCCACAGCTGGCCGAAGCTAAGCCTCCGTCCCTCCCTCGCCCTCCCTGCAGACCTGGTCCCACCACAGGTCCAAGCCCACCTCTGGCAGGCAGCAGCTGAGGCAGGGCAAGGAGAGGGCAGGAGCAGCGCACCCAGGCCACCGTCCAACCACAGGGCCTCTCTGGTCTCCCCAGCTCCAGGCGGAGTCAATGTGCCACTGGGCGGGTCAGCCCAGGGTCACAGCCATCTCAGCAGGGGGCCTGGTGGGCTTGTCAGGGGACCTGGGAACGGCAAAGGGGCCCCAGGATCAGGGGTCAGCAAGGGTACCCCTCACTTCCAAATGTCTTCAGGGTGCTCTGCAAAATAAAACCTGCTTTGACGCCCGGAGACAATGAAGCTGCCAAAACCCAGCTTTGTGCTGAGCCCTTGGGAGGAGAACAAAGTGGCCATGTCACATGGCCACTTTGTTGTTGGGACTGGATTTTAGAACGGGACTGGAAAGGGACACGTTCTGGATTTTAGAACGGGACTGGCTGCGGCCTGAAGGAGGAAATTTTCTCTGTTAACCTCATTGGAAGCTGTAATCTTCAAAAGACCTTTTTAATGGCCCTTTAATCGGCTTTTCTTTCTCAAAATAAACCTCGGGCAGCAGTCGCCGACACCGCAGTCAGAGGGCAGGCAGGACAGTGGGCCTGCCGCTGCCTACCAGCAGGTGATAGCCACCCCTGCCCAGGAAAAAAGGCTGGAACAAAATCAATGTCTGAGGTTGGTGCGCTGGTTCCCAGTGACCTTTCCTCACCATTAGCTCCCAGGCAAGAAAGCAGTGAGCATGAAATGGTCACAAAGTTTAATGATCAGCTAAGGATGTAAGCATGAGCCTGAAGGCTCCAAACAGGAGGCCATGTCAGGGAGGCGTGGCGGGCCAGGAAGCTAAGTCCTCACCTGCGATAACAGGAAACCAACGTCCAAACACACCAGCCAGGGAAAGGCAGGGCACGGTGTCCTGCAGGGGCAGGGAGGGGGCACTAGACAAAGGGCCCAGAGAATTAAAAGTGCCCAGGCCAGGGCGAGATGAAGGTAGGCATAGGCAGGCCGGGCCATTTTTTTTTTTTTTTTTTTTTTGGTCAAGTCTGTTTTTTTTTTTTGAGACAGAGTCTCGTTCTGTCACCCAGGCTGGAGTGCAGTGGCGGGATCTTGGCTCACTGCAACCTCTGCCTCCCCGGTTCAAGCGATTCTCCTGCCTCTGCCTCCCGAGTAGCTGGGACTACAGGCATGTACCACCACGCCTGGCTGATTTTTGGGGTTTTTTCTTGTTTGTTTTTTGCAACAGAGTCTCGCTCTGTCGCCCAGGCTAGAGTGCCGTGGCTCGATCTCGGCTCACTGCAACCTGCACCTCCTGGTTCAAGCGATTCTCCTGCCTCAGCCTCCTGAGTAGCTGGGATTACAGATGCGCACCACCATGCCCAGCTAATTTTTTGTATTTTTAGTAGAGACGAGGTTTCACCATGTTAGCCAGGATGGTCTTGAACTCCTAACCTCAGGTGATCCACCAGCCTCAGCCTCCCAAAGTGCTGGAATTACAGGCGTGAGCCACCGCGCCCGGCCTGTTTCAAGTCTTCTAGCTACCTTTGCACAGGTTATTGTGCAAATAGATATCCTTGAACAACGCCCTCCCCTGCTCAACAGCACCAACCCCTGGCCAACAGGAAAGGCGTGACCCAGAGCCACACAGGACAGGACTTGTGGGCTGGCTGGAAGGAACTTGCAAGGTGGCCTGTCTTGTCCCCAACCCCCTTTCACAGAAGGGGAAATCAAGGCCCGAGAAGTCCCAGGACTGGGCAACACTGGCAGGATGGTGAGGCTGGCTGTTCCATACATCCAACAAACGCAGACTTCAGCATTGGGGCAGAAAGTGCCTCCCAGTCCCCACTCTCCTGCTGCCCGGCTGACATAGAGGGCAAAGAGAAGGGCACACTATGCCACAGGCTTCCCCTCGGCCAGGGTCAGCCTTTCTAGGAAGGCAGTGGGGCCCCGAGAAGGAAAACAGAGCACCCACCATGGGGAGCCACACGGCAGCAGCAGTGGTGGCCTGGGAGAGCCCTGCAGACTGCTTTTCCGAACTCATGAAACAGGACTCTGGTTCTGCCCAGAATGTCAGTTCCTCCCATCCTACTCGCCCCAGATCATCCTCCATGAATCAGCCCCAGCCCTGAACTGGGGAAGTGTGTGGAGTCCTCCTCCCTTGCAGAAAACCACCTGTTCCCTGTCCACGCATGGGAGCTCACATACAGAGACGCTGCAGCTGCACGGGGCTTGGGAAGGGAGGACATTTGCAGAGGAAGGCACAGGCCCAACTGGGATGCCATGATCGGCCAGCAGGTGCACTGTGGGCACCCTCCCAGCTGCAGCCAGGAAGCGCTGCCCACTCCATATCAGGCACTGGGGCCAGGCTGAGCAGTTGGAACCCCCAGCTCAGACAGAGATGGGAGGCCCACCCAGCCGGCCTGTCCACAGGGCCAGGAGGGGCATCCCATCTCCAGATCCTCCACCAGCATCCAGAACCGCCTGTCACCCTGGGTGCCCCTCCCCGCTGGCCCAAGAACCACCTGCCAGGCTGGCCCTTCAGCAACCTCCAGCGAGCCCCCCTTCTCTGTTTAGTCTGTGCATGGGGTGGCAGGGGGTGGGGGGGGCACGTGCCACCCCAGGCTCTCAACTTTCCCAACCCTCCACTGCTGATGCTCCCACTTTGCAAACAAGGAAGCTGGTTGGGGACCCTCTGTGTTTCAGGGAACCACAGGTGGGCTTTGGGGCTTCACCAGCCTCACCAAGAAAGCGCCTCCCTGGTGGGCAGGCGGGCTGGCCCCACAGCAACCTGTCTGCCCTCCAGACTCGGGGCCTTTCTTGTCTAATCTCATGGGATGGAGCTTCCCGAGTTCACCCTCCAAGGCCACGGGCCTCCTCTCCCACCTGGGCCCACAACCCACCAGGCCACCCAAAGTGCTGGAATTACAGGTGTGAGCCACCGCACCCGGCCTGCTTCAAGTCTTCTAGCTACCTTTGCACAGGTTATTGTGCAAAAAGACATCCTTGAACAACGCCCTCCCCTCTCGACAACACGGACCCCTGGCCCACAGGAAAGGCGTGACCCAGAGCCACACAGGACAGGACTTGTGGAGCCACACTGGCTCCAGGACACTGCCAGTAGCCGGCAACAAGCAGCAGCTCCCGCTCTTGCCACAGCTGTGAAAAGGGCGGGTGGGCAGCCACCACAGGCCTGGCTCAGCCAGGTCTGAAGGAGCCCCCTCTGCAGGCCGGGGTTCAGACAGTGACACCCACGAGCCACTCCTGCCTCCCTGGCTTGGTCCCACTCAAGGCCGGCTTCCTTCTCGCCTCTTCCTGGCTTCCAGATAGGGAAAAGGAGGGTCAGGTGCCTGAAGCTGGGTGGGGGTGTGTGTCCGCATTTTCTCAACCATTTTCTGAACTCTAAAAGACAGACCAGACCCCGCTGCACAGCCTTGGGGTGCTGGCTGGGCCCCTTCCCAACCCAGCACCTCACTTCTGGTCTCCTAAATCCTCTCCTCTCTCCTCCTGAGGGGTAGGGTAGGTGGCGTCCTGTGCCACAGGTGCCACACTGGACATGTCAGGCCAGAGACACTGGAGGCCGGCAGTGGGCAGGACCAGGCCTCCGGGAGGGAGCGTGCGAGGACACCACGCCCTCAGGCCGGACCCCCACCCAGCTCTGCCAAGTCCCAGTCCCCACCACCTGAGGCCTCCCCAGTACCCCTGCGAAAAGGGTGACAACTGGGCTTTGCTCAATGCCCCGGGCAGCCCATCTCCCCACCGCCCTCTTCCCCAGCTAGACCCACAAGGAAGGCGGCCGCGAGGGCCCCGAGGAGGAGGCGCGGTCCGGGAGTGAGTCCGCCCCCGCCCAGCCGGGAGGAGGTCCCGGAAGCCCGCAGCCTGGCGCCGGCCCTCGGGAGGCACCGGGTCCCCGGGTCGCTTCAGAACCAGGAAGGGCCAGGCTCTGGGGGTGGCGGGACCGGCGCCCTCCGCTCGCGTGGCCTCGGGGACTCCTCGGGAGGTCCTGCCCCGCGGCCCAGAGTCGGACACACCCCCGGGGCAGGGCGCGGGCGGCGCCAAGACCCAGGCGGAGGCCGAGAACGTGGCCGGCCGCACGTAGGCCGGAGACCGCGCCGGGGAAGAGCGGGGGACAGACCCGGGGCAGGAGGCCGGGGCGGGAGGCCGGGGCGGGAGGCCGGGCCGGCCCGAGACCCGGGTCCCGGGGCTCGGCGGGCGCTCCGGAGAGGCCAGGGCGGAGGCGCCCTCCACCCCCTGCGCCGCGACGCGGCCGGGACCCCCGCCCACCTTGCGCGTCGCCGCCGCTGGTCAGGACGCCGATGGCCTTGCCCGCGCCCGACGCCCGCAGCTTCTCCAGGTCCACCGCGGCCATGGCGGCGGCCGAAACACGGGCCCAGCTCGCACTCCCGCCGCCTGCGCCGCGTCGCCGTCCCCGCCCCGCCCCGCGCGCGCCTTCCGCCCGCCCCGCCCCGGGCCCGCCCCCGGCGCCTCCTCGCAGGACGGACCCTGGACGGAGCAGGGATCCTGCGCCCTCGGCCCGCCGGGGCCACCTTCCCGCTGTGCGTTTCTAAACCTGTGCAATGTCACGCGGGCCCTGAGCAGTGAGACCCCCCCCTCCACCCCGGTGGTCTCGAGGATGTGGCCGGGGACCAGGGCGGGGCTGGCCCCAGTGCGGCCGCACGCGCCCCTTCGCCAGCGCCGAGGCCCCGGTGGCACGTCTGGCCCGGCTTCGCTTCTCCGGAGGTTCCTTGCTGTCGGCCGCAGCCACCGCCCCTCCCTGCCCCCCAGGGGCCCTCAGGGCGCCTTCAGGCCTCAGCAGAGCGAAACCCAAACGAGGCGCTGGCGGAAAGCAGCCAGCACTCCTCCCTCCCTCTCCCTCCTTTCCTCCCCTCCTCCCTCACTTTTGCTGGGCCCTTGGGGAAGTCTTGGTTCCCCGGGCCCTGGGGGTGCAGAGCCGGTGTTCGGGAGAGCCGCCTCGTGACCGCACGGTGTGTTCGGTTTGTGAAAGCTCAGCGGGCTGATCGCTAGGATTTGAGCATTTTTCTCTACATATACGGTGGAAATGGTGGCTGTGAATATCAACTACTCCTTATTTAATTGTGAAATGTTAGAAAACACACCGAGAGACTGCGCAAGCACATATGCGTGGGCTAAAAGGCGCTAAGAAGACACCTGTGTCTACCCCTGAGGCATCCTTGTGCTGACATTTTGGGTCATTATTCTCTCCCTTTTCTTACAGCTTCATCACGTGTGTGTGTGTGTGTGTGTGTGTGTGTGTGTAAATTCTTAAACGTACATGGTTTAGCCACAATGAGGTACCACCTCATACCCATTAGGATGGCTACTATAAAAGAAAAACACAGGCTGGGCGCAGTGGCTCACGCCCATAATCCCAGAACTTTGGGAGGCCCGTGGGGTGGGGGGGGGGGGGGGGGGTGGATCACCTGAGGTCTGAGGTCAGGAGTTCGAGACCAGCCCAGCCAACATGGTGAAACCCCGTCTCTACTAAAAATACAAAAATTAGCCGGGCATGGTGGTGTGCGCCTGTAATCCCAGCTATGCAGGAGGCTGAGGCAGGAGAATCACTTGAAGCCAGGAGGCAGAGGTTGCAGTGAGTGGAGACTGCGCCATTGCACTGCAGCCTGGGCAGCAAGAGCGAAACTCCGTCTCAAAAAAAGAAGAAAAGAAAAGAAAGAAAAATGCAGAAAATAGTAATTGTTTCAAGGATATGGGGAGGCTGGAACCCTCATGCAGTGTTGGTGGGGATGTGAAATGGTGTAGCTGCTGTGGAAAACAGGATGGCAGTTCTTCAAAAAATTAAAAATATAATTACCATGTGATCCAGCGATTTTACTCAAAGACTCACACAGATATTTGCACACACATATTCATAGCAGCATTACTCACAACAGCCAAAAGGTGGAAGCACCCAGGTGTCTGCTGAGGAAAGCATAGATGAACACAATGCAGTCCATCCATGTGCTGGAATATTACTCAGCCTTAAAAAAGGAAGCAGATTTCGGCACATGCTACAACATGGATGAACCTTGGGGCCACCATGCTGAGTAAAATAAGACAGACACAAAAGGACAGATACTGTGTGATTCCACTTCCATGAGGTCCCTGGAGAAGTCATAGAGACAGAAAGTAGAGTGGAGGGTGCCAGGGGTTGGGAGGGGAATGGGGAGTGAGTGTTTCATGGGGCCAGAGTTTCCATTCAGGAAGCTGGAACAGCTCTGCAGATGGTGGTGGCAATGGTTACATGAGATGTGAATGCCACTGAACTGAAAAGTGGTCGAGATGATAAATTTATGTTATGTGGTTTTTTTGTTTTGTTTTGTTTTTGAGACGGAGTCTCACTCTTGCCGACCAGACTGGAGTGCAGTGGCGCAATCTCAGCTCACTGCAACCTCCACCTCCCGAGTTCAAGTGATTCTCATGCCTCAGGCTCCCATGTAGCTGGGATTACAGGCACCCACCACCACACCCAGCTAATTTTTATATTTTTAGTAGGTCACCAGGCAAGGAGAGGCTCCCGGGGACTTCCAGAGTAGAGAAGTGGGGCAGGGTTTAATTTCCAGGCACATGATGGCTGGTGTCCCCAGAAACACAGAGCTGTTTACAGCCGAGCACTGACAAGAGGTGGCGCTGTCCCCTTCTTGATCCCAGCCGGCCGGCTTCCAGGACTGAGGAAGGAGGTGTCCTTCTCAGCACTCTCTCATCAGAGCTGCATGTCCCGGCCATCTGGGGTCAGGAGGGGAAGGGGGCCGCCGGACGGGCCATGCTCTGGATGGCCCACTGCAGGATGCCATCGAAGGTGTGCTGCGGGACAGAGTGACGGTGAGAACCTCCAGGTGCGCCCCCGCCGCAGCCACAGAATCATGGCCATCGTTACAAGAAGTCACCATCCAACCTTCCCTCTAAGTCAAAGGTGGGGAAACTGAGGCCCGAGGCCCCATGGCACAGGCCAGTCTGGGGAGGACCCTGTCCTGTGCACTTCACCGTATTCCATCAAAGGTGGGGAAACTGAGGCCCAAGGTCCCCATGGCACAGGCCAGACCGAGGACCCTGTCCTGTGTACTTCACCACATCCTATAAGCCCAGGGCACATCCCCATGGCAGTTCATGGCAGTTCTGCCTCCTCGGGTGGCTCCTTCAGGGTGGGGGGGTCGGGGCCAGCTACTTATTCTGCTCAGGAGCCTGATGCTCCCACAGGATGGGGCCACGGGCCCCACGATGCCAGCAGAATAAGACCGCCACCCGGGAGAGGCTGTGAGCCCGTCGCTCATTTCTCCAGCTATACCCGGGGACCCCATCCAGAGGGGCAGCTCCATTACCCAGCGCTGGGCCCCCTGGCCCACTCTCAGGCCCTGGGGCTCTGCAGACACCTGCACGGTCAGGGTGTGTGGGGCACGGCCACTGCACAGGGCAGAACCCCTGCCCCATGGTCAGCTGGGACCCCCGGGTGCCACATCAGACACTGAGGAGAACCCGTGGAGGCTGAAGGAGCTTATCCTCTTGGCAAAAACAGACAGAGCCCTTAAAAGTCACATTTTCCCCACAGATTCTACCTGCCCATCTTAGCGTAGAGAGGCCTGAGTTGGGAGGGGCAAGCAAATCTTAGAGGGACGGGGTCTGGGACCCCCCCCCCACTCCCACGCCCCACCCTCCCTGGGAAAGTGGATCTTGAGCCTGGTGCTCGAGCCTCTGCCTGCCAGGGTGCAGGCCCTCAGGGGAGGGGCCGTGTGGGGGCTCTTGTTGGGGAGGGGCTGGGGGCGCTCAGCAGCACTGGGCTCCCGCAGGGGGAGGGGCCGGGGGGGGCTCCTGCAAGGGGGCTAGGGGGGCTCCTGTGGGGGGTGCCAGGTGCTCAGCAGCACTGGGGCTCCTGGTGGGTGGAGCAGGGACAGCCTGAGTTTCCACGGCTCAAGAGCAGTGGGGGCCGGCAGTCCTCCCCCAGAGTGGGGAGCCTGGGTGCCGGCTGAGGCAGGGGAGGGGGAGTGGAGGAGCACCAGGAGGCCAGGGGAGGCGTTACCTCGCTCAGAAGGGACTCCAGGTCATCCCTGTGCAGAGCGGGCTCGTGACTGGCAGTGTCATCCTGGAACCCAGTAAAGAGAAGAGGTCAGCCCAACTCCCACAGCCCTGGTGGGGGTACAGAGGCCGCAGGGCCTAGGGGCCGCGGGGGTGTTTCCCCCACACTGAGATGGGAATTCTTACACCCAGCTCCACTGGGGGTGGGGGCACAGGGCTGCGTGGGCATGATGGGGCTGGGGCTGCCTCCCCAGGGTCCTGCCCACGGCCAGCTGCCCACGGCCCCCAGACAGCCTCCACACTGTGTGGCCTCCTGGGGAAAACGAGGGAGCTCAGGGAACCAGCAAGGAGTCCCACTCTGAGAGGGGAAGTCTGAGGCCCAGAGAGGAAAGTGCCTGGTCCATGCCACCCCCGCCCCCGACAAGCACCACCAGGGCCAGCCCACACTATAGGTGAGCGACCAGAGTGGGAGAAGGTCCCCAGGCAGGCACCCCCAGCAGAGAGGAGACCATATTACATTGAACCCTGTGGAATTCCCCATTTGTGGCCCCAAACAGCCACATCCCAGCTCCTCCACTCGGGTGAACACTGGCGCTGCGAGGCCCGGCAGCCCTGCATGGCTGAGGGAGGGGCTGCCCGGTCTGGAGGGGAAAGCCCCTGGATGCTCCCCGGTCCTAAGGATGCTCCCAGGGGGTGGGAGAGCTGCTCAGGATGGGGTCTGGGGCCACGTCCAACCACCCTGGAGGAAGGGGGCAGGCTGAGGGGGGAGGCCAAGGCCAGCCAGAACTTTTCCTCTGACATGGCGTTACATTTCACATCACGATGACAAGAAAGAGGTCTCTGCTGTTCAGAGACAGAACCCAGGAGGTTAATGACGAGGTACCCGCTGCGGGAGCAGTTGCAGGAAAGCTGCCTGGGGTTAGGGAGGGGCATCTGCGTATATGCCCGGCTGGGCTCCTGACTCCAGATGGGTGGTGTGAGGAGGGAGGCTTCTAGAAGGAAGGGGACAGTGACAGCTGTGGGCCACGCCACTGTTCCACAAAAGCCCCAAGGGCAGGGCTGGGTCTGAGGCTTGTGCCATGCCAGGCCAGAGCCTGCATGCCGGGGAAGCCTGTCACCTGCCCGGGGAGTACCACGCTGGGGTAGGCTGTCACCCTCCTGGGGAGTACCACGCCGGGGTGGCCTGTCACCCACACGGTGTATACGGGGCGGAGGCACAGCTGGGAAAGAGCATGGGCCAGTGGAGCAGGTGGGACGTGTCATCACCCCAGGATCCCTAAAGGCTCCTCGGTGGCCAGGATGTGCTCAGGAGGCCTCTGCTGGGGACGGTCAGGGCAAGAGGCCACCCCCCCGGAGGCTCCTGCAGCAGCGACTCGGGCCTCCCCCACACCCAGCTCCAGGGCAAGCCCAGCCGCCCCAGCAGTCAGGGGTCTCCGCGCCACCCAGGTCCTCTCTGACCCCGGAGCAGGAGGACAGGAAGAGCTACTGGCTGGACCCGGGGTCACTTTGCCTCTCTGAGAGGGCTCTGGCCACACAGTGGGGTGGATCCTGGCCCCAGGGAGGGCTGGGGGTGAGACAACCTGGAGGGGTCAGACAGGGTGGGGGTTTGCTCCTGCAGGCCGGGCGCTCCCGCTCTCCCTTCACCCCACCAGGGAGCCCTGGCAGGACTCTCAGGCTCATGCTGTGAGGCGGCCACACAGCCAACCGTGACGTCAGCCACCAACCCTCGGGGGGAGCTTCCTTTTTAACTATATTTAAGTTGCCAAAAAGAATTGGTTTAAAGGGGAAATATTTTCTACAGATAATGAGCACATGGTCAGTGCGTCTGGTGCAAGCCCTCGAAGCTGGCACCCAGGGTCTGCCCTGAGATGTGCTCCCCCAACACCAACCCAAGGGGTTCCCCACCCCCAGCACCGGCATGCATGGAGGGCCCCTGCGGCACTGACCTTGGCAGGCCCAGGGGCCAGGCGGGCGGGGCTGGGGGCCAGCACCCCCTCCACAGGGGCTGGGGTCACGTCTCCTGAGCAGGATCTGCAGCGCAGGCCCGTCCTGCAGCAGAGGATGAGGGGCTGCCAGCCCTGGGGGGGAGCAGGAGTGCCACCTCCGGGGTATGGGGTGTGGGGTGTGGGCGTGGGTGGTGAGTGGGGGATGGGGGTGTGGGGTGTGAGGAAGGGGTGTGGGTGTGGGTGGAGAGTGGGAGTGGTGGGTTTGGGTGGGTTTGGGTTGGGTGTAGGGTGTGGGGTGGGTGTAGGGTGTGGGTGGGAGTGTGGGGTGTGGGGTGGGGTGTGGCTGTGGAGTGTGGTGAGGTGCAGGGTATGAGGTGGGGAGTAGGGTGTGGGTGGGGGTGTGGTGGAGTGTGGCTGTGGAGTGTAGGGTGTGGGTGCAGGGCATGGGTGTGGGGTGGGGTGCAAGGTGTGGGTGGGAGTGTGGGGTGTGGGTGGGGTGTGGTTGTGGGCTGTATGATGTGGGTGGGGAGTGTGGGGTGGGGTGTAGGGTGTGGGTGTGGGTTCAGGCCTCCCCGCCGACCACGCTCACTCACCCGGGCCGGGAGGTGCCGGCTGGGAAGTGGCAGCGCCAGTGGAAGGCAGCGGCGCAGTGAGTACACCGCAGCACGTCCGTACCATCTCCGCACACCCCGCAACGCGCACCAGGAGCCAGGTTCTGTGGGAGGCAACAGCGCGGGGTGACGCGGGGGGCCGGGGGAAATGTAGCTGAACCCGAACCCGAGCCCTGTGCGCTCTCCCCTGGGACCACCCAGGGCTGGACGGCGGGTCTAGGCGCAAGTGAGGAGCCTCACGGTGCCACGCAGGCTGCAGGACAGCGGGACCAGTCCCATCCCCAGGAGGCAGGGGCGACCCAAGCACCCTCAGGCTGCTGCCTGCAAGCCTGGCGCCCGCACCTCTCTCCTGCTTGGCGGGCCTGGCCTCCTTTGGGGCTGAGTGCGGGAGTCTCCTGAAAGGCGGTGCCCACAGGGGTGCAGGGAAGGGAATTGAGGCAGGGAGGGGAGGGCTCCCACGTGTGCTGGGACATCCCCCCCTTCATTGTCCTGCCTTGTGGGGGGAGCAGTAATGCCCAGGGCCAGGAGCTGGAGTGGAGGTCTAGGAGCGTCCCCTTCCCCCCGCAGCCCCCCACGCTCCCCCCACAGCCCCAGGCCCTGTGCCTCCCGGAGCCTTTCTCGCCTGGCCTCCCTCTCCTCCTGTTTCAGGTGAATTCATCCGCCCCGTAGGTCCTGGGCTCCTTGAAGAGCCCACCCTGACCCCCACTCCCCGCTCACCTGCTGACCCTCAGGACCCACACACAGTAGGGGGTGCAGGGCCGAGGAGTCCAGCCCTGGCAGCGGGGCTGCAGAAGGCGGAGCCGGCAGGTGCTTGTAGACAAGAGTCGTGTCCATGCCGGCTAGGGGTTCCCCAGGTGGACCTCTTACCTCCTCTCCCGCCGACCTAAGCCCCGGGGGGAGCTGGAACCCAAGGGTCAGCATCAGAGGGGCAGCGGGCGCCTGCCCGGCACCACCCAGGAGTCAGTGACTGCTGGGACCCTGAAACCCAGGGCAGCAGGGTGGGGGCAGAGGCCTGGCATGGTGGGGGCGGAGGGCTGGCATGGTGGAAGGCGTCCACACTGAGTGGGAAAGGCTGTGGCACTTCCTGGCTCTGTGGTCCTCCCTCCTCCCCCGTCTACACACGGGGGGCCCCCTGGCCCTCAGGGCTGTCAGAGGGAACACTGGGTCTGTGCACAGTAGACCTACTACCCTCACAGCAGCAGAACAAGGAACACATCTTCCGGGGCCGTTATCAATGCTCATAGTGCCCCCCGGGGTGGACCCGCAGCCAGGAGAGCTGGGTTTAGGCCCACAGGAACCATGATGGGGACTCCACTGCAGGAGACCACAAGGACCGGGCTTGGGCATGGGGGACATAGTGCTATGGCTGGGGCAGTCCTGTCCCACAGGACTCCAGGGGACAGACGGACAGGAGGGGGTGGCCCAGCCTAGGAGGGGGCGTGGCCATGTGGACAGGAGGGGTGGCCCGGCTAGGAGGGGGCGTGGCCATACCGGGGTCTCCACGGGTGGCTCCTGGGGCCGGGGCTCCTCTGCCCGGGGCTGCACCTCCTGGACTGTTGCCTGCAGGCAGCTGGAGCACCTCCAGGTCCCACTGCTCGTGTGTCCACCAGTCAGAGACATGCAGAACAAGACAGCGGGTGACAGATCCCCAAACCCACGGGTGGAGCTCCAGGGCTCCGACCATGTCTTTTCACAGAGGGGGAACCGAGGCACAGCAGAGAGATGGGCAGAGACACAGGAAGGGAGAGCCCAGCAGGGGGACATTTACCCTTCGTGGGGTGGCCCTGGCCAGCGTGATCAGGGTCCCCTTGGCGTGCTCTCTGATGAACCCCAGGAATCCCCAACACCTGCGAGCCCTGGTGGCTTTGCCTGCCTCTCAGGGCTGGGCCCTGCCGGGGGCCTCCCTAAACTGACCCACCTGTTAAGGGGAATGGCACCCAGCAGAATGGGGAGGTGATCAAGGGCAGAAAGAGACGGCAAGGAGGAACGGCTTCAGGAGCCGAGCAATGACCCCCACTGTGCCCCTTATTCTAGTGATGAGGCACAAGGCTGAGAGGGGGCCTGATGACGGCCACTCAGGGGCTGGGGCAGAGCCTCGCCTGAACGTGGGTCCCCACTGCACCCAGAGCTCTTCCTCCCACAGACTGCCACGTCCTGTGGGGTTGGAATGGGGGCAGGGCTCGGTGGGCCGTGGGGAAGGAGCACCGGGATGTGAACGCAGAGGAGGCCTCCCGCCCCCACTAAGCCCGGCGTCCTGTGCATTGGTGGACAAACTCCCACCTGCCCTGGGGGGCACAGCTCTGTGGCCTCTGTGCTCCCCAGCCCTGTCTGGAGTGGGACTCTGGGGTGGGGCTTGGGGGTGGGGGCCGGCTACCCATGGGGGCGTGGGCTGCAGCCTGGGATGAGCTTGGACAGGGTGGCATCTTCGCCCTGGGCCTCTGTTCTGCTTTGCTGCCCTCAGGGGCCCAGCTGTCCAGGCTGGGCAGCAGGTGTGGCCAGACCGGGAGGCAGGTGGCAGGGTGGGAAAACCCCAGGCCCCGGCCCCACGGCCCAGTGACCTGACTCAGAACCCCTTTCCATCTTGGATGGGAGAGGCTTGGGGTGGCTTCCCTTCAGGGTCAGTGGGTGGAGGCGGCCGTGAACCGGGGTGGCCTGGTTGCGCTGGCAGAGGTGCAGGCTCACCTGGGGATCTCCCGGAGCGGAGGGGACAGGCAGGCCAGGTGGAAGGCCCGAGGGCAGCCGTCACAGCAGATGAGCTCCCCGCCGTCCCGACACACGGCACACTCGTCCTCATTCTTCTGGCACAGGCAAGAGACGCCCATGCAGACTGGGCTGGGGTGCAGCACCCTCCTGAGAGCCACCTCCTTCCCAAAACAGCTCCCCCAGCAGCATCTCTGGGTACCTGAACTCCCCAGTCTCTGCCCTGCTCCCATGCTGCCAGGGCCTGAAATTCTGCCCTGACCACCTGTTCCCCATCCATCTGGTCTCCAACAGACACCCCCCGGGGCCATCCCTATTGGGAAGAAAACCCGGTTTCTTGCAGGCTGCTGCGTTCCAGGGGCCCCGGAACTGTACACCAACCACATGAACCCTTCCTCACAGGGCAGTGGGGCCAGGCCCAGGGAGGTCTCTCCCGACCTCAGCGCCTGCTGAATCCTCCACCTGCAGCCCCCACCGTCCTTGTGCCCTGCCTGGATGGTGCCTGCTGTGCCTTCAGGGGTCTCCCAGGTACCACTTCCTCCAGAATCCCCCCAGACAGCCAGGCTAGGCTGGTCCTGCACGGCAATGACCTCACTCATTCTAACAATCCCCCAGACGCCCACCAGCCCGGGTGCTCCTGCAGGGCAGGACTGGCTCCTGTCACTGCTAAGTGCCAGGGCCCCACAGAGCCCCTGGTGCCAAGTGGTCAAGATCTGTAACCCACCACGGCAGGCACCCCCCACACTGCTTCTACCCCATTAAGAAACCATGCTGGGGACGAAAGATGAGCATGGCATTCCCAGTGGATCCTTGACCTCCTGGCTATAGCAGGGGCGCCCGGCCCACCCACGGGCCCAGCTGAGAGCAGCGGGTACAGCCTGGACCAAACGCCATGCTCTTAAGAGCCTGAGAAGACCTCACTTTCTCTGACTCATTTAAACTATTACCATTGCGTATTATCAGGAAAAAAATACTGTCTATTAAAGAAAAAGAGCTGTACCCTGTGGGTAGGGGCTCAGGCCCCGGTGCTCATCCCTGAGTGCCCAGGTAAAGGCAGAGGCAGCAGGACCCACCCGAGGGGAGCAAGGGCAGACAGGGGCCTCTCCTGTGGTCTAGGGCATTACCTGGTGGAGCTGGGGGTCACTGGGGAGGGCCAGAGGGGCGGGAACGCTGCCCTGCTGGCCCAGCCTAGCCTCACCTCCACCCTGCAAGGAAGAGGGGCGTCAGCAATGGGGGCAGCCTCAGCAGCGAGGGTGCACATGGCTGTGGCACCAGGCGTCTCTCGGCAGCAGCCCCCAGCCCCCAGCAGAGCCACTCCCCCAGAGGCAACGCTGTTCCTGGGGCGGGGGGCATCAAGAGCCAGGCTCCCCAGGGAAGGTCAGGTGCTTACGGGGGCAGCGCCCTGGGCTCCCTTGGCTCGAACCAGAGGCTTCGGGCCACTGCTGCTGCGGGCCTTGTTCTTCCCACTGCCGGAGTCTTCGAACTTGCTGGGAGTGTAGAACTCCCCGCCAACCTGGATGCACTTCTTGGAGCCGCCTGGGAGGAGATGCCGGCTGGTCCTGGCTCACCCGCCCAGCAGGACCTGCCTTGGCAGTCGTGTAGGCCCCAGGGTGGGGTCTAGCAGAGACAGGTGGAGTTCCCACAGCCTGCATTCCTCCAGCCCGCCCCCACCCCAGTCGAGTCTGGGGCCCGGGGATTGTCCTGGATCTACACCAGGGTGTTCAACAGCGTCCCCCGAAGTTCACGTCCACCCAGAACCTCAGAGTGTGACCTTACTTGAAATCAGGGTCTTTGTAGATGTGATTAGTTAAGATGAGGTCACACTGGACCATAAGTTCAATGACTGGTGTCCTTATAAAGAGGACACGTGGGAGACAGCTGTGAGACCACAGAAGCAGAGGCTGGAGCGGTGGGTCCTGAGCCCAGGAACAAGGAGCACAGGGGTACCCCCATAATGACCAGCAGCTGGGAGACACAAGGAAGGATTCTTCCCTGGAGCCTCCAGAGGGAGTGTGGCCCCGAGACACCTCGATGTTGGCATTTCTGTCATTTCAAGCCTCCCAGTTTGTGCCAATTTAACCAACAGCCTTAGGAAGTAACACAGTGGGCCTTGGGACCATCCAGAGGTGCAAGACCAGGGCCCTGGCTGTGCTTGGTGTTCCCAGCCCATGTCCAGCACCGAGGAGACACCGTGTCAGGGACTTGAGATGGAATGCCCCGATGGCACGGTGGGTCTGCCACCAGCGGCCCTGCTGTGCCCTGGTCAGATGGCACTGGTGATTGCATGGGGTCAGCGGCTGGCCAGGGAATGGCGGGCGAGGATGCTGCAGGCTGGCCAGGGTATGGGGGGCAAGGACGCTATGCTACAGGCTGTCCTGGTTGAAGAATGCCGATACCCTGGAGGGTCTCAGCAGCACAGGCAGAACTTTCTAAGGATGCAACCCCATGGCCCAGGAGGGCCCATGCACATGGATGGAGGTGACTGGGGAGTGCTGTACATCCCGGGTGGGGATGTGGGCCTGGACCGCTGGCCTTGCAGAAGGTCCCCCGACAGGGAGACTTCAGTGCTCACCCTCCTCCTCCAAAGTCAGCAGAACCACAGGCAGAAACTCTGGCTACCTGAGCAACAGTCCGGTCTGCTGTGGGACCACCAGGATGCAAAGGGGCGTGGTCCTCCTTCCATCTTGGAGCCTGGGTCTCCCCATCAGCCCCATCTCCCCGCCACAGCGTCTACCTGACTCAAACACCTGCTGGATGAGGATCCCCTCCACGGCCCCTCGGGCTCCCGGGACGTCCCCGGAGGACATGGCCACAGCTCTCTGGACTGAAGCTGACATGGTCTGAATCCCTGGGAAAGGGAACACCCATTGGGGTCACCCGTGGGGAAGACTGTTCCCAAGCACATACTCTATGCCAGAAGCAGGCAGCACTGGGCTGCAGAGCCCTTTCCTTCCAGCCAGGGCAGGCCAAGGAGGGGACCCAGCCCTGCCATGTGCAGACAGCCCACAGGTAAGTGCAGAGACATGAGAATGTGTGTGTTCGTGTGTGCACCCAAGTGTGCGTGTGCTGGGGGGTGGCAGTGTCAGCAGAGCTGGCACAATGGATAGGAAGGCATGACCAATGACCAGACCCACCCCCCCATGACATGGGCCCTGTATTGTGCCGGGAGGGACACAGAGTTCCTAGGCTCTGCCCTCAGGGAGATAGGGGGTCTCTGGAGTCCAGTGCCCTGGGAAGGAAGGAGAAGGGGACAGGAAGGGTTCAGCCTGCATGCAGCTGGGGGCCAGGGATGATTTTCTGGAGGAAGCTATGTCTAGGCTGGTCCTGAAGGATAGGGAGTGGACGGGCAGAGAAGGTGCCTGAGAAGGGGGTCCCAGAACCAGGGTGCAGTGGGGGCAGGGGCGACTGGCAAGATCATGCTTAGACCCAAGGTGTCCCCTTCCTGGGTCTGGTGGTGCAGCTTAGGCCCTTGGAATGACACACCAGGCCAGCACGTCCCCAGCCCCTAGGACAGGGTCTCAGAGGGCAGGCCCTGCTCTGACCCCTGACCCCTTGCCCCTGGCCAGGGAGAAGGGAGGCGCTCCCACTGGGCCCCGCTCACCGTTCCCGAGTGGAAGGCGCTGCTGCTCTGCGCTGCTCTCCGGCTTCTTGGGGGGCTTGGCCTTCAGTTGAGAGCCTGAATGGGGGAGCTGGGGGCAGCCTGGCCTCCCCTCTCAGTGGGGGTGAGTGCCGGTGGGCAGGGGCCCGCGGTGGGAGGGCGTGGAGGGGGCGGTCCAGTGCTGGGTAGTCCCTTTGCCGGGCTCTGGTTTCTCATCAGTAAAAGGGAAATGAGACCCGCCCGCCTACTTCACCAGCTCCGGGGAGCTCAGCCTTCAGGCAGGAGGGAGCTGAGAGGCTGGTCCAGTGTGTGGGTCTAGTACCCAGAGGAGACCCCCACAGCCCCAGGCAGGCTGGCCCCACACCCAGTGGGTGGGAGCCCGGGTGGGGAGGGGGCGTGGGCTCCCGGGGAAGCCCGGGAAGACTGGAGACCCTGGCTGGCTTCCCCTGCAGGGAGGGTACCTGGGCTGGCGGTGCCCCTTGGAGTCAGGGCTGCTGGCGCGGCAGCTCGAGCCTCTTCTGAGGCCTTCCTCTTGGTGGGGAGTCTGGGTGGCGGTACCAAAGCCTTGGGGACGGCCGGGGGCTTCCTCCCCTTCCGGGGCTGGCTGAGGTCCACATCTGCAGCTCAGGGGCAGGAGCAGGGTCCCAACCTCAGGGTTTTCTCCAGGGGTAGGGTGGGCCCCAGAACTGGACACCTTGGCCAGACAGGTGAGGCCTGGCCCCTTTGCCTCTTAGGATCCAAGACGGTCCTGGAACATCACCCACGGGCTCCTCAAACACCACTCCGGTTCCAGTCCAGCTGGGCTGAGCAGGTGACAGCAGCTGCCCCAGGCCCCCAGCATGGCTGAGTCCACCAGGACCCACCTTTGGGGAAGCTGTCCAGG
The DNA here is from genome assembly GCF_000001405.40 of Homo sapiens. Lineage (NCBI taxonomy): Eukaryota > Metazoa > Chordata > Mammalia > Primates > Hominidae > Homo > Homo sapiens. The sequence goes on along the minus strand of NC_000021.9, from coordinate 44,286,711 downwards.
ATGGGCTGCAGCCGGCCATAGCGCTCCAGGTTGTAGTCCTTGAACAGCACCCTCCAGAAGTCCAGGATGGCTGTGGAGTCCTGGGTCAGCAGCCAGGACAGGAGGGCGTGGAAGGCCTGGGGGCAGCCCTCCTTTTCCTTCAGATGAAGCGTCTCCTGCAGTGGGGTGGCATGAGGGTCCCTGCCATGGTCCCCCACACCCTGCGGCCTGCCCATCTCCATCATGACTAGAGGGTGGAGCTCCCAGGCAGAGGCGCTGGCGACCTGGACAGCTCCACGCCCATCTCCTCGGCTTGTGGTGGAGTCAGGTGGTGGTGTAGGGGTGTTGAGGGTGGGGCTGGGGGAACCTGGAGGCCATTCCCTTGGCTTGGGGGTGAGGTGTGGGGACGGCTGGGGGAAGGGGACCAACTTCTAACTTGTCATCAGGGACGCCCCTGGCTCCTTGTGGGGAGGGAGTTGGGGAAGGCTGGAGGGGCTTGGGGATCTGGAGGGGCGGGGTCCTCCTGGAACTTCCCCGGGGACTATCCCTGGCTCACAGGGCCTGGGGGCAGCGGGGGGCGGGCGGGGAGCCCACCTGAAACTTGTCCTCGGGGACCACGTCGTGGTCAGCCAGCGCGTGCAGCAGTGGGAAGGCGCTGTCCACGGCCACCGCGATCTCCGTGCGGTGCAGCCTCAGAAGCCGGCGTAGCGCCGCGTCCGTCGCCATGGGGTGGGCGCGGGGACCCGGGGCTGGGGCGGACGCGGTGGGTCCCGGGACACTGGCAGCCCCTCGCTTGGCCTCGGGTCCCGGCGGGGCTGTGGGGCCTCCGCGCCGGCTGTGCGCCCGCCCGTCTCCCCGGTCTGCGAGCCACGCGCGCCGCTGTTATACCCCCGCGACCACGCAAAGAGCAAAGGCCGCTCCGCCCCGGCGCCCAATCAGGGCCAGGGCCTCCCGCAGGGACACTTCCCTGTGATGGAGGCGCTGCTGTCCCTCCCTCGCTCTCGGGAAGTCTCCGGGCCTGGCCTGACTCACCCACCAGGGCAGCTGCCTTGGGGGCTGGGGACAGAGACTCGCTCTGTGCGGGACTCAGAGAACTCTCACTTCCGAATGTGGCCCTGTCCTGCCTCGGCGAGGGCCCTGCTCGAATGGGGCAAAGCCGAGACAGGTGCCCTCGGCGGGGAGGCTCGGGTCTCAGGGCCCTGGCAGGGGCTGCCCAGGGTGCACCGGCCCCTCCCAGTGGCCGGCAAGAGCCTCCATGGAGGCTGGATCGGGGTGGTGTTCCTGGGGGACCTCCACACAAGCTGAGAGCCCCTACTCAGGGGCCCGCCTGGGGCTGTGGGAGGAGCCCGATGGAGGCTCAGTCTGATGCAGGAGACGGTACGGCAGCCTGGGTGTTGCCAGGGAGCTCCTGACCTCACCATCTTAGGCTAGCTGTGTGACGCCAGGCAAGTCCTTTCCTTCTCTGAGCCTCGGTTCCCTCATCTTTAAAAGGGGCACACTCGCCTGGGGATTGAGGCTCGCATTGACCCCCTCCTTCCTTCCTCCAGGTGCTTTAGAAGGAAGGCGGCCAGCCCCACAACGGGGGTCCTGAGTGTGGCCCTGAGTGAGAGCTCCCAAAGGGTCTTCCTAGGACCAGTGACAGAGGCTGAGGGATGCTGTGGCCTGGACAGGAGCTTCCGGGGGCATCTGGGAAGGTGTCCGGGAGGGGAGCTGCAGTGGACAGGAGCCGAGGGTCCCAGGTGGACGTGAGTGGGGACAGTGCCCCCAGTAAAACAAGACCAGGTGCAGAGGCCTGGGGCCTGCAATGATGCTGAGGCTGTGGTGGCCCCGCAGGCATGGCCTGGAGGGGGGGTGGCCTCAGTGGGAGGCCTTGGTAACAGTCCCCTTGTCTGTGCGGTCAAGCCAGGGAAGCAGGCCCTGTGTGCAGGCTGCAGAGAACCACGAGAGGTCTCTGGGCACGAGTGTTCCCACTGAGCCAGAGAACGAGATGACCTGGCCAGCATGGATTAGGGCTGAAGGGTGGACGAAGGTACCAGGAAGCCTGAATCCAGGCAGCACTGGGCTGGGGGCTAACTGATGCAGTGAGAGACGCCACCAAGATTCCCACGTGGGCAGGCGTGCCGTTTGCTTTTGGGCAGCCAGAGTCCAGGATGGAGAGCGGCAGACACCTCTCCTCTAGACCAGGGGTCGGTCTCGGTTTCTCCTACCGCCTTCAGGCCCAGGGTCCCCCTGAGCGTTCTGCACGTCTGAGATTGCTCCGGAAAAGACTCTAGGGGTGTTTGGGAACAAACCTGGGGAGGAAGGTGGGGCCAGAGGTGGTGGCCGAGGTGGTCAGCCTGGGGTCAGGTGCTGGGGACGTCATGGGGAGCTGAGGGGGAGGGGGTCCATCTCAGTGGTGGCTGTGGAGTATCAGGCAGTGCAGGGTTGGAACAGGCTGGCTCCTGTGTGGAATGTCCTGGGAGCCTTGAGCGGGGAGCAGGGCCCTCTCGCTGCCCAGGCCTGGGCGTCTCTCACTCCCTGCACTGCGCCTTCCGAAGACCCCGAGAGGGAAGCCCCCTGCCTGCATGCCTGCCTTGCCGGTCCCCGCTCCAACAGACACATCCTGTCCCCAGCCAGGCCGGGCTGCTGCTCGCTGGGTTTCCTGCCCTCTCCCCTGCAGTTCTGTATTTACAGCAAAAATATTTAAATAACTGCAAGCGAAAGTTGCACAGAAGCCCAGCTTTGCACAGGATCCCTGTCTGCTCCTGAAACACCCCCATTCTCCTTGCTCATCCATGGGCAGGGGTCTCACGAAGGGAGAGCTCACTAACATCAAGTTCAATGGCAACCCTTGGGCCCACTGGCTGCACAGTTCATGCATAAAAGCCCCTGGGGTGCCAGGGAACCAGCGCACACAGCTTTGGGATGACCAGTAACCGTTGCTCCCAGCAACTTGGCTTTCCTCTCCTTTGAGGCTGTGGGGAAAAGAAAGAGAGATCAGATTGTTAATGTGTCTGCATAGAAAGTAGACATAAGAGACTCCATTTTAATCTGTAACCCTACCCCCAACCCTGTGCTCCCTGAGACATGTGCTGTGTCAACTCAGGGTTAAATGGATTAAGGGCTGTGCAGGGTGTGCTTTATTAAACAAATGCTTGAAGGCAGCATGCTCGTTAAGAGTCATCACCACTCCCTAATCTTAAGTACCCAGGGACACAAAACACTGCGGAAGGCCGCAGGGACCCCTGCCTAGGAAAGCCAGGTATTGTCCAAGGTTTCTCCCCATGTGATAGCCTGAGATATGGCCTCCTGGGAAGGGAAAGACCTGACCGTCCCCCAGCCCGACACCGTAAAGGGTCTGTGCTGAGGAGGATTAGTAAAAGTGGAAGGAACGCCTCGTTGCAGTTGAGACAAGAGGAAGGCATCTGTCTCCTGCCCGTCCCTGGGCAATGGAATGTCTCGGTATAAAACCCGATTGTATATTCCATCTACTGAGATAGGGGGAAACTGCCTTAGGGCTGGAGGTGGGACAAGCAGGCAGCAATACTGCTCCTTAAGGCATTGAGATGTTTATGTGTATACATATCTAAAGCACAGCACTTAATTCTTTACCTTGTTTATGATGCAGAGACCTTTGTTCACGTGCTTACCTGCTGACCTTCTCTCCACTATTATCCTATGATCCTGCCACATCCCCCTCTCCGAGAAACACCCAAAAATGATCAATAAATACTAAGGGAACTCAGAGGCCAGCGGGGGTCCTCCGTATGCTGAGCGCCGGTCCCCTGGTCCCCCAATTTCTTTCTCTATACTTTGTCTGTGTCTCTTTTCCAAGTCTCTCGTTCTACCTAACGAGAAACACCCACAGGTGTGGAGGGGCAACCCACCCCTTCAGAGGCCATCCTGCCCCAAAGTCACCCCCTGCAACCCGGTGGCTTTTCCCTCCCCAGATGGTTAAGTGAGTCAATGGATGCCTTAGCCCAGAGATGGTTAAAGGGGAATTAAAAACTGCAAAGCGAGATCCAAGTCTGCACTTCACTTTTTAAAAAAGACCTGCAGTCTTTGCGGGTCACCTGTGTCATTGGGCTGGGGCCTGACCCCTGTGGGCAGGCGTCACCCAGCCTCTTGCATGGAGGTTTAACAAAGAGGCCCCTGTAGAATTTCGGACTTTCCACCATGCCGTGGGGCTTTCCACACCAGCCCCTTGCCCGCAGGTGACATGGAGCCGCCACGGCTCCCTGGAGGTGGCACAGACCCCTGGAGGGGGGTGAGGGGCTGGGGACTCGGCCCTGTCTTCAGTGGGACTGATGCCTTTGTGGGACTGAGCCTCAGTTTCCCCAAGAGGCACCTGGGCAGCAGAGCTCTGGGACAGTATTGGGCTCCATCCCTGAGCCCCGTGTCCTCGGCTGGAGCGGGAGGGCCCCGCAGCCCTTTCTCCCACATCTGTGCTGTGCCCTTGGACGCCTGCGGACCTGCCATGCCCCGGGCTAGGCCCTGAGAGCTTTGTGATTCTGCTCACTCCATCAGCAGAACGGTCTCCTCAGGTCATCATCGTGATTAGTGCCATCCACAGATATGGAAACTGAGGCCTGTTGCCGGGAGGAGCTTGGCCAGAGTCACGCAGCTGCTAAGGGGCAGAACCACGACTCGGACCTTGATGCACGGAAGAACAGAGGTTCTCCAGGTCCATGCTCCTGCTGTGCCGGGTGCCCCTCAGGTGCCCAGGTCACGTCAGATGTTCTCAGCCTGCAAAGTGGGGGGACGCGGCCCATGTGATGTGTATAGAAGTTGGGAGGAGCCAGGTCCTAATGGCAGAGCAGGGAAGGGGCTGGAGGGGGCTCAGCCTTGGCCCCTCAAACAAGCCTGGACTCCATGCCTTCTCCCCTGCTCCAGATGGAGGTTCCATCCCCTGTGGCTCCCTGGAAGGGCCAGGCTCCCAGAGGCCAGGAGCCTGAGTCAGAAAGGCCTCGGGGAACATGGAGCCCTGGCCAGGCCTTGGCTCCTGGAGGCCCTGGGCCCTGCTCCTGCAGCCTGGCCAGGTGGTCTGGCATCAAGGGAGGGGTGGGTCCCCTCAGGACACTTTGTGAGGACCCCTAGCACCCTCCTGGCCACAGGCTTCCTCACTGGGCCTCAATTTCCTCACTGTAGAGAGGAAGTTGCCTCTACTTGTTGAGGGCGGGATGGCCATTCCACATGGTTGTCCAAGTCAGGGAGGCAGCTCCGAGCACCGGTGAGCTCAGAAGAACCCGTGCTCAGCCAAGGGCATTGGAGGGGGGACCCCCTGCCCCCTCCCCTCCTACTACTCTTGCCTCAAACCTGCCCCACTGGTTGGGCCTCAGTTTCCCTGGTCTGGCCTCTCCACTGCGTCCCACTGTGGGTATGTGTCCAGACGGCGTCACTTTTCTCAGTGAACTAGGGGAAGTGGTGCCAGATTTTTTTCTTCTTTTTTTTGAGACAGAGTCTCGCTCTGTCGCCCAGGCTGAAGTGCAGTGGCGCGATCTCGGCTCACTGCAAGCTCCGCCTCCCGGGTTCACGCCATTCTCCTGCCTCAGCCTCCCGAGTAGCTGGGACTACAGGCGCCCGCTACCACAGCAGGCTAATTTCTTTGTATTTTAGTAGAGACAGGGTTTCACTGTGTTAGCCAGGATGGTCTCGATCTCCTGACCTCATGATCCGCCCGCCTCGGCCTCCCAAAGTGCTGGGATTACAGGCGTGAGCCACGCACCCAGGCTTCTTTTTTGCAGAATTGACCATCTGCCTTGCGATCTTACCAAAAGGCCCAGCTGGTGGGCTGGGGCCCTCTCGGTGGACAAGCCCTGGGAGAACAGAGCTCTGCCCTCTGCCCCCTCCGCAGCCCACCAGCTATTAGCTGAATGTTGTTCTCCCCCCAGCATTCTTATGTTATAGCTTCACTCCCAAGGTGATAGTAGTAGGTGGTGGGACCTTTGGGAGGTCATTAGGTCGAAAGGACTCTGCCCTCAGGAACGGATTACTGACTGTATAAAAGGGGCCTAATGGCTGGGCACAGTGGCTCACACCTGTAAGCCCAGCACTTTGGGAGGCCAAGGTGGGCAGATCACCTGAGGTCAGGAGTTCAAGACCAGCCTGGCCAACATGGAGAAACCCCATCTTTAGTAAAAATACAAAAATTAGCCAGGAGTGGTGCGCACCTGTAATCCCAGCTACTCGGGAGGCTGAGGCAGGAGAATCACTTGACCCGGGAGGTGGAGGTTGCAGTGAGCCGAGATCACGCCACTGTACTCCAGCTGGGGCGATAGAGAAAGACTCTGTCTCAAAAAAAAGGAGGGGGGCCTGAGGCAGCCCCTGTGTCCATTCCTCCATGTGAGGACATGTAGAAGGTGCCATCTAGGAACCAGGAAACAGGCAACAGGCCCTCACCAGATGTGGCGCCTTGATCTTGAACTTCCCAGCTTCCAGAACTGTAAGTGACAAATTTCTATTTTTTTTTTTCTTTTGAGACAGTGTCTCGCTCTGTCACCCAGGCTGGAGTGCAGTGGCACAATCTCGGCTCACTACAACCTCCGCATCCCAGGTTCAAGTGATTCTCCTGCCTCAGCCTCTCTTGTGATCTGCCCCTTCGGCCTCCCAGGGTGTTGGGATTACAGGCGTGAGCCACCGTGCCCAGCCAATTTCTATTGTTTGTAATTGCCCACTCTAAGGATTTTATTACAGCAGCACAGACTGATACACCTCTCACGCTGAGCGTCCCACTTTCTGAGTCACTGAGTCACTCCGGTTTCTCTGCCCACCCTGCCTGTCTCCTCCCTCTCCAGTCTGGTCATGCTGAACGGACCAAAGCTCCTACAGGTGCAAAGAGTGACTTTGGGGGTCGGTGCGCGGTCAGCAGCAGGCCATGAACTCACCGGGACACTAAGTCAAATGCCCTGGAGAATGCAGTGCTCTGGCGTTGGGCAGGACACCCATCCGGAGCTGCACAGCCCGCCATGGGGCTCACCTGCTTTTCTGTTTTGATCCCAGAGTCAACAGCCCATCCTCCAGGGACTGCAAATAGCAGGAAGCCTAAAATTAGGAGGAGGGGATGACAGCAGGTGCTGACTGCAGCAGGGCACAGAATGGCCCTTGGAGACCTCAGGCCATACTTGGATAAACATATTTTTCCATCCAGTTAACCCACCAGCCCAGTGTTGGGTGTAGCAGGACCATATGCTTCAGTTACAAGGCCGGCCTTCAATTTGGAAGAAGTCCAATTTATCAATTTTTCCTTTTACATTTCTATTCTTGTGCTTTTGGAGTCAAGTCTAAGAATTCTTTGCCCAGCCCTAGATCCTGAAGATTTTCTCCTACGTTTTTTTCTGAATGTTTTATAATTTTACGTTTACATTTAAATCTTTGTGATCCCTTCCAAGTTAATATTTACAGAAGATGTGAGACCTAGGCGGAGGCTCTTTGCCCCTACTCCATGGGTGTCCAATTTGTTGAAAGGTTGTCTTTCTTCCATTAAATTTATTTTATATCTTTGTCAAAAATTAGTTGGGCAGTAAATCAAATGGATCCAAGACCTACATAGAAAAGCAAAACCTACAGAACTCTTAGAAGAACACATTGAGAGAAATCTTCATGACATGGATTTGTTAGTATTTTCTTAGATATAATGGCAAAAACATCAGATAAATAAACCGGACTTCATCAAAATTAAAATGTTTCTATAGGCCAGGCACAGTGGCTCATACTTGTAATCCCGGCACTTTGGGAGGCCAAGGCAGGTGGATCACCTGAGGTCAGGAGTTGGAGACCAGCCTGGCCAACATGATGAAACCCTGTCTCTACGAAAAATACAAGAAATCAGCCGGACGTGGTGGTAGACACCTGTAATCGCAGCTACTCGGGAGGCTGAGGCAGGAGAATCGCTTGAACCCGGGAGGCAGAGGTTACAGTGAGCCAACATCTCGCTGTTGCACTCCAGCCTGGGAAACAAGAGTGAAACTCCATCTCAGAATAAAATAAAATAAAATAAAATAAAATAAAATATAAAATAAAATAAAATAAATAAAATAAAATAATGTTTATACAGTAAAGGACACTGTCAGGAGAGAGAAAAATCCCCCCAGTGAACATTTGAAAAATCACATATCTGATAACGGTCTAATATCCAGAACATATGGAGAACTCTTAGACAATCCAATTAAAAACTGGGCAAAGGACTAAAATAGACATTTCTCCAAAGAAGATAGGCAAATGGCCAACAAGCACATGAAAAGACGTTCAACATCATCAATCGTTAGGGAAATGCCAATTAAAATCAAATGAGATACCACTTTACCCCAGCTAGGATGGCTATTATCAAAGAACAGAAAATAACACGTGTTGGTGAGAATGTAGAAAAATTGGAATCCCCGGCCGGGCGCGGTTGCTCAGGCTTGTAATCCCGGCACTTTGGGAGGCCGAGGCGGGCAGATCACAAGGTCAGGAGATCTAGACCATCCTAACACGGTGAAACCCTGTCTCTACTAAAAATACAAAAAATTAGCTGGGCGTCGTGGCAGGTGCCTGTAGTCCCAGCTACTCGGGAGGCTGAGGCAGGAGAATGGCGTGAACCCGGGAGGCGGAGCTTGCAGTGAGCCAAGATCGCGCCACTGCACTCCAGCCTGGGCAACAGAGCGAGACTCCATCTTAAAAAAAAGAAAGAAAAGAAAAGAAAAGAAAAATTGGAATCCCCACAAGTTGCTGATGGAAACAGAAAGTGGTACAGCCACTGTAGAAAACAGTTTGGCAGTCCCTCAAAAAATTAAATATAGAATTACTATATGATCTAGCAATTTCACTTCTGGGGATACACCAAAAAGAAATGAAAGCAGGTATTCAAGCCAAAGCTTGTACACCAATGTTCATAGCAGCACCATTTACAACAGCCAAAGGGTAGAAACAACCCAAAAGTCCATCAACAGAAGAATGGATACATAGAATGTGGTATAGCCATATGATGGAATATCATTCAGCTGTAAATAGGAATAAAGTACTGATGCCTGCTGCAATGTGGATGAACCTCAAAAATGCTGTGCTGTCCGGGCGCGGTGGCTCATGCCTGTAATCCCAGCACTTTGGGAGGCCGAGGCGGGTGGATCACGAGGTCAGGAGATCGAGACCATCCCGGCTAACACAGTGAAACCCCGTCTCAACTAAAAATACAAAAATTAGGCAGGCGAGGTAGTGGGCACCTGTAGTCCCAGCTACTCGGGAGGCTGAGGCAGGAGAATGGCATGAACCCGGGAGGCAGAGCTTGCAATGAGCGAGATCGCGCCACTGCACTCCAGCCTGGGTGACGGAGCAAGACTCCGTCTCAAAAAAAAAAAAAAAAAAAATGCTATGCTAAGTAAGCCAGACATGAAAGAGCCACACATTGTATGATTTCATTTATATGACATACACAGAATAGGCAGATCTGTAGGGACAGAAAACAGATTGGTGGTTTCCAGGGGCTGGAGAGAAGGGGAAATTAGGAGTGACTGTTTAATGAGTATGGGGTTTCCACCTAAGAGTGGATGAAAAAGTTCTGGAACTAAGACAGTGATGACTGTTGTACAATATCATGATGTACTAATTGCCACAGAATTTTCAACTTTCAAATGGTTAAAATGGTAACTTTCATGTTATGTGAATTTATAATACAAATTAATTAATTAAAAAGCAGTTGGGCATATTCGTATGGATCTATTTCTGGGTTCTCTGCTTTGTTCCATTGGTCTATGTGTCTGTTTACCAATATCACACAGTCTTGATTACTGTAGCTATATAATAAATCTTGAGACCTAGTAAACTGATTTCTCACTTCATTCTTCTTTTTCTTTTTTTTTTTTTAGTCTTTCTCTGTCACCCAGGCTGGAGTGCAGTGGTGCAATCTTGGCTGACTGCAACCTCCGCCTCTCAGGTTCAAGCTATTCTCCTGTCTCAGCCTCCCAAGTAGCTGGGACTACAGGCACACACCACCACACCCAGCTAATTTTTGTATTTTTAGTAGAGATGGGGTTTCACCATATTGGTCAGGCCGGTCTTGAACTCCTGACCTCAGGTGATCAGCCTGCCTTGGCCTCCCAAAGTGCTGGGATTACAGATGTGAGCCACCACACCCAGCCCATTCTTATTTTTCAAAATTGTTTCAGCTATTCTAGTTTCTTTGATTTTTTCATATAAATTTTAGAGTAATTTTGTTTCTATCTATTAAAAAAATCTTGCTAGGATTCTGGGCCAGGTGTGGTGGCTCACACCTGTAATCCCAGCACTTTGGGAGGCCAAGGTGGGCAGATCACAAGGTCAAGAGATCGAGACCATCCCGGCCAACATGGTGAAACCCTGTCTCTACTAAAAATACAAAAATTGGCTGGACGTGGCAGCGCACTCCTGTAGTCCCAGCTACTCAGGAGGCTGAGGTGGGAGAGTCGCTTGAACCTGGGAGGTGGAGGTTGCAGTGAGCCGAGATCGCGCCTCTGCACTCCAGCCTGGAGACACAGTGAGATTCTGTCAAAAAAAAAAAAAAATCTTGCTGGGATTCTGATAGGAATTATATTTAACCTATATATCAGCTTGGGGAAACTTGACATCTTTATGATGCGAATTTTCTGATCCATGAACATCGTATGCCTCTCTATTTTGTGAAACCTTCATTGATTTTTTTAAAAAAACAGTGTCTCATAGTTTCAGCATGAAAGTCCTGTACGTGTTTTATGTTGAGCAAGTGTGAATGGTTTTGTGGTTTTTATTTTGGTGTCTACATGTTTATTGTTGATATATAGAAATTCTAATGTTTTTGCATGTTCATCTTGTATCCTACAACCTCGCTGAACTCATTTCCTTAATTCTAGGAGTGGTTTTTGTTAAATCTTTGGGTTTTTTTTTTCAAAGACAATTATGTTTTCTCTAAATAGGGACAGTTTGATTCCTTGCTTTCCAACCTATATGCCTATATTTCCTGGTCTTGCCTTATTGCACTGGCTAAAACTTCCAGCACTAAGTTGAATCACAGTCATGAGAGTGGACATCCTTGCTTCATTTCTGATCTTAGGGGGAAAGCATCCAGTCTTTTGCATTAGTTGCATGTTTTTTGTAGATGTTCTCTATCAAGTTGAGGAAAGCTCCCATTATTTCTATTTCTCTGAGAGTTCTTATTGTGAATGGATATTGAATTTTGTCAAATGCTTTTTCTGCATCAATCAATCTGATCCTGTGACTTTTTCCTTTTTATGATGACAAAATATATCCCACCTCCCCTCTCTGCCAGGAACAAAGGTTAATCACTGACAACAACTGGATTCTTATTGGCCTAAAGATGATACTAGAAGAATCTATGATATGGTTTGGATGTTTGTCCTCTCCAAATCTCACACTGAAATGTGATTCCCAGCGTTGGAGGTGGGGCAGGATAGCAGGTGATTCTGTGATTTCCAGCGTTGGAGGTGGGGCAGGTGGGGCAGGTGGGGCAGGGTAGCAGGGATTATATGATTCCTGGCGTTGGAGGTGGGGCAGATGGGGCAGGGTAGCAGGTGGTTATGTGATTCCCAGCATTGGAGGTGGGGCAGGTGGGGCAGGTGGGGCAGGGTAGCAGGTGATCGGATCATGGGGCCTGATCCCTCATGAATGGCTTGGCACCATTGCTTTGGTGATAAGTGAGGTCTCGTGCTATCTGCTTGTGTAAAGCATGTGACACCTCCCCCTCTCTCTTGCTCCCACTGTCACCATGGGAAGTGCCTGTTCCCACTTTGCCATCCACCGTGATCGTAAGTTTCCCAAGGCCTCCCCAAAAGCTGAGCAGATGCTGGCGCCATGCTTGTACAGCCTGCAGAACTGGGAGCCAATGAAATCTCTCTTCTTTATAAATTACCCAGCCTCAGGTATCTCTCTAGAGGGAAGCAAGAACGGCCTAACACCATCTACACAAGCAAGCTTCCCCAACTCACCTCCATCTGCCCTTCTCTGCCTTCCCACAAGCTGCCAGCCCTGGGGACTCAAAGTCCTCCTCTGCCTTGTCACTTCTCCAAAAATGTACTGTCCTTGGTTGAAGATGCTACATAAGCTGGAATTCAAAGTCACCTCTTGGAGAACGACTCATTCTGTAGGTTCTTCCGTGAAATATGCACGTTCATAAACTTCTGTTTGTTTCTCTTGTTAAAATCTGGTTTTTGTCACAGGGTCTATTCCAACTAAGAATTTAGGGCCAGGCGCAGTGGCTCATGCCTATAATCCCAGCACTTTGGGAAGCTGAGGCAGGTGGATCACCTGAGGTCAGGAGTTCAAGACTAGACTAGCCAACATGGCAAAGCCCCGTCTCAACTAAAAATACAAAAGTAGCTGGACATGGTGGGCGCCTGTCATCCCGCCTACTCGGGAGGCTGAGACAGGATAATCGCTTGAACCCATGAGGCGGAGGCTGCAGTGGGCCGAGATCACACCACTGCACTCCAGCCTGGGTGACAGAGCGAGGCTCCATCACAAAAAATAAAAATAAATAAATAAATAAATAAATTATGAGGCTCAAGAAAAATGTTTTGCCTCTGCTACAATGAGCAGAAGCTTTTCATTCCGAGAAAGCACAGTGCATCAATTTCTCTTTCATGGCTAGTGAACTGGGCTACCCCAGTTCACACAGATATTCTCTTATATTCTAAAAGTTCTGGAAACTTCATCATTTACTTCTTTTTTTTTTGACTGAGTCTCGCTCTGTCACCCAGGCTGGAGGGCAGTGGTGGGATCTCGGCTCACTGCAACCTCCGCCTCCCGGGTTCAAGCGATTCTCCTGCCTCAGCCTCCTGAGTAGTTGGGACTACAGGTGCACGCCACCACTTCCAGCTAGTTTTTTTGTATTTTTAGTAGAGACGGGGTTTCACCATGTTGGCCAGGCTGGTCTTGAACTCCTGACCTCAACTGATCCGCCCCCCTCAGCCTCCTAAAGTGCTGGGATAACAAGCATGAGCCACCACGCCTGGCCTCAAATTGACTTCTGTGTATGGTGTGAAGTAGGCAGGAGCTGAGGTTTATCCTTTTGCAGGTGCGTGTCCAGTTGCCCTGGCACTGGAAATACCCCTTTCTCCATTGAATGGTCTCTGCTCCTTGGTCGAAGGCCAGCTGTCCATAGGCATGAGGTCTGTTTCTGCATCTTCCCCCTTCCACGGTCCGTGTGTCCATTGGTTCACCTGGGCCCTGTGGTCTTAGTGACCGTGGCTCTACACAACCACGTCTTTGGAGTCTGGCCACACAGCGATCCCCTTGCTTCTGCTCTTAGAAGTCCTTGGCATTTCTATAGGAAACTTGGGGTCACCCTGTTGATTTCTAGAGCTGTGTCCTTGGGGCCACTTGAACCCCTCAAGGCTTTTGGTGGGGGGAACCCCTTCTTGGCTCCCCTCAGAGGCCCCCCATAACCTGCAGAAACTCGCCCACACCCAGGACCGAGGTTGAGCTCAGGCGTCTGCCAGCCTGCCCGGCGGAGGTGCTGGTGGGTGTGGACACCACCTTTGGATGGGCTCCAGGTACTGCTCACATTGCACCACTCGGAGGGAGCCCAAGGTGCCCCACAGGGGTCTCCAAGGACTTCCTAGAACAGAGCCCCCTCCCTTCCACCCTCCACATCTTCCCTCTGCCCACCTGCTCCCTGCCAGGGTAGGTGGCTCTCCCCTGCTGGGCCTTCCATCAGCACCAAGGGGTTGGCAGCGTGGCACCAGGGAACAGCCCTCTGGCACCCCCACCCCTGGCATGGGCCCCATCAGCACTGGGGTTTGTAGTCGGAGCTCTTGTTACCGAAGGGGTTAAAAACAAGCAGCAAACACAGCCGGCTCCACCATAGTCAGAAAGCCCAGAACGAAAGGAATGGAAGAAACCACCACAGGGCGTTGCGTGCTGATGGGAGCTTCCCACAGGGTCTGTCCCCATGAGGCAGTGCAGAGGTGAAGGACAAGGAAAGGATCCAGAACGCATCGGCCAACCCTGAATCCAGAGTCAGACGGTGGCCCTGACAGAGGGAGGTGGGTAAGTGGGGTGTCCTCAGCTGGAGGCCCGGGGGAGCCTGTCGTCTGGACCCGCACACGGCCACCTGTGCCGAGGCGCATCCTCACCCTGGCCCCATTGTGACAGTCCTCACCTGGGGCCCTGCCCCTCTGCTGTCGACTCAGGTGCTCACGGCTGTGCTGGCTTACAGGCTCACCCTGGGCAGGAAGAGCCCCCGACCCTGGGCAGGAAGAGCCCCCCACACCGAGGAGAAGCCTGTGCTCAGAGGGGCCCCAGGAGCCTTCTACGCTGGCAGCCGCCCATGGCCCTTGGCACCAGAAAGGAAGGCACCGCACCCTTGGTCCCCTCCTGGCCCAGCCCAGCACCTGCTCTTCCTCCAGACCCCAGCGCAGCTTGACTTCCCAGCCCCTCATTGCTGGCCTTTTGCCGGGCAGCCAGTCCCTGTTCCCTGCCATGGAGGAACCCTCCCTCTGCCCAGCAGGCCTGCCTTCTGGCCTCACCCCTGTATCTCTGCAGGGTCCCCTGGCTATCCCAGGTTCCCAAAGAACCCGCCCTAGCCCACTTGGCCTCGGGGCCGCAGCCCTGCCTGGTGGGTCCACTTTTCCCAGAGACTTGGCTGGCTTTCTCCCAGCGTCTGCCCAGGGCCTGCCCTGGAGCAGGTCTGGACACACCCACTGCATGGACAAGAGAAACAACATGGCTCCCTCAGCCTCTCCACCCGGCCAGAGACAAGGGGAGCAGGCCCCAGATGTGCTGATGGGTTAGTGCTGGGGAAAGGTGCCAACCCTTGAGTGATAGTAACGTGTGCAGAAAACACACAGGGAGTCTCCAGGTCAGAGGGCCTCTGCAGGCACCCCCATTCCGGCATCCTCAGCCCTGGCCCTGAGCCCCCAGGCAGACTCCAGCCATTCCTCAGCCCTTCCGGGTCTCTGGTGTGCTGTTTCTGAGCCACTGCAGGCCATGGAAGCGGGCACTGAGGCCAGGGTGCTCTGGGGACGTCCCTTCCACACCCATGTCCCCACCTGTTCCTGGCCTGCTGAGGCACAGAGAATAGAGGAGAATGTGGCCTGGTTCGGGGCTGGAAGGGAGTCCCCTGAGATTAAGAGGGAGGACAAAAGAACGGAAACTACCCAAATGTCCCTCAGTGGGGGCAGGTGAGAGACCGGGCGTCCCTCTCCGCAGATAATGGGCCAGCCAGTAACGGGAAGCCGGGACCGAGGGCTCAGACTGCGTGGGGTCCAGCGTGCCACTGTTTAATCTGTAAGCATAAGCGTGGCTTCAGTTGTAGACACATGCATAGATTCATTCTGATGTTAAAATAGGAACTAGGCCGGGCACAGTGACTCACACCTGTGATCCCAGCACTTTGGGAGGCTGAAGCGGGCAGATCATCTGAGGTCAGGAGTTCGAGACCAGCCTGGCCAACATGGTGAAACCCCGTCTCTACTAAAATTACAAAAATTAGCCGGGCATGGTGGCAGGTGCCTGTAATCCCAGCTACTCAGGAGGCTGAGGCAGGAGAATCGCTGGAACCCAGGAGGCGGAGGTTGCAGTGAGCCAAGACCGTGTCATTGCACTTCCAGCCTGGGCGACAGAGCAAGACTCCGTCTCAAAAAAAAAAAAAAGAGAAGAAAAGAAAAGAAAGAAAAGGGAAATAAAATATAATGGAAAAATATTCACAATACCAGTGAATACTCACTTTTTTTTTTTTTTTTGAGACAGAGTCTTGCTCTGTCCTACAGGCTGGAGTGCAGTGGTGCGATCTCAGCTCACTGCAACCTTTGCCTCCCAGGTTCAAACAATTCTCATGCCTCACCACACGAGTAGCTGGGATTACAAGCATGTGTCACCATGCCCGGCTAATTTTTGTATTTTTAGTGGAGACAGGGTTTTGCCATGTTGGTTAAGCTGGTCTCTAACTCCTGGGCCCGAGTATCTGCCCACCCAGGTGCTGGGATTATAGGCGTGAGCCACTGCACCCTGCTGTAAGTACTCAACATTTTTTAAAAAGAGGAAAGAGACTGGGCGCGGTGGCTCTCGCCTGTAATCCCAACACTTTGGGAGGCCAAGGTGGGGGGATCACCTGAGGTCAGGAGTTTGAGATCAGCCTGACCAACATGGAGAAACCCCATCTCTACTAAAAATACAAAAAATTAGCTGGGCATGGTGGTGCATGCCTGTAATTCCAGCTACTCGGGAGGCTGAGGCAGGAGAATCGCTTGAACTCGGGAGGTGGAGGTTGCGGTGAGCCGAGATCGTGCCATTGCACTCCAGCCTGGGCAGCAAGAACGAAACTCCGTCTCAAAAAAAAAAGAGGAAAGAGGCCGGGTACAGTGGCTCACGCCTGTAATCCCAGCACTTTGGCAGGCCGAGGCAGGCGGATCACCTGAGGTCAGGAGTTCGAGACCAGCCTCAACATGGAGAAACTCCGTCTCTACTAAAAGAAATACAAAATTAGCCAGGCGTGGTGGTGCATGCCTGTAATCCCAGCTACTTGGGAGGCTGAGGCAGGAGAATTGCTTGAACCTGGGAGGCGGAAGTTGTAGTGAGCCGAGATCACGCCATTGCACTCCAGCCTGGGCAACGAGAGCTAAACTCCGTCTCAAAAAAAAAAAAAAAAAGAAAGAGGAAAGAAATGGAAAGATACATCATGTTCCTAGATTTAACTTTTTTTTTTTTTTTTTGGCAAGGTCTCACTCTGTCACCCAGGCTGGAGTGCAGTGGTGAGACCACGGCTCACTGCAGCCTCGAACTCCTAGACTCAGTGATCCTCCCACCTCATTTTGGGTAGAGATGGGGTCTTGCTATGTTGCCCAAGCTGGTCTCCAACTCTTGGCCTCAAGAAATCCTTCAGCTCAGCCTCCTAAAGCACTGGGATTACAGGTGTGAGCCCCTGTGTGTGCCTGGATTTAATTTTTTTTTTTTTTTTGAGACGAAGTTTTGCTCTTGTTGCCCAGGCTGGAGTGCAATGGCGCAATCTTGGCTCACTGCAACCTCTGCCTCCCAGGTTCAAGCAATTCTTCTGCCTCAGCCTCTCAGGTAACTGGGACTACAGGTGCCCACCACCACGCCCAGCTAATTTTTGTATTTTTAGTAGAGATGGGGTTTCACCACGTTGGCCAGGCTGGTCTCAAACTCCTGACCTCAGGTGATCCATCTGCCTCGGCTTCCCAAAATGCTCAGATTACATGCGTGAGCCACGGTGCCCGGCCTGGATTTAACTTCTTAATAGTATTTTTACAAGTCAGTTCTTCCTTAATTAGTGTGTAAATCTAATACCATTCATTCCAATCAAATTACCAATGGGATTTTTCAAAGAACTTGATTTAATGTTCTTGTGGAAGGTGAGTGAACACGAGACAAGACACTTCTGAAGACTGTCACACGGCGCGGGGTGTTTAAACATGGTATAAAGCTACAGCCAGCGTGGCAGGAGCTCCAAGGCAGAAACTGACACACCCCTGGAGAGAAATGCAAAGCCTGAGACCCAGGCACTCAGAGAGGCAGGTGATTGACACACGGTTTTGAATGCATCAGGGAATGGAGGGCGTATTCAAAAGTGATCTTGAGAGAACTGGATAGTAATTCGCAAAAGCCATGGCAAACACTAAAATTATTCCAATTAGAATTAATACATAAAATGACTTAAATGAAGACATGAAATGATGAAATGGAAAAAATGAAATAAAATATCCAAAGAAAATAAAGGTGCATGCTTATACCATCTTGGGGTGAAGAGGAACTTTTTAAATATGTTAGGAAGAATGGAAATCTAAAAAAAGACTCGTAGACAGGGCCAAGCGCAGTGGCTCACACCTGTAATCCCAGCACTTTGGTAGGCCGAGGTGGGCAGATCACGAGGTCAGGAGTTGGAGACCAGCCTGACCAACATGGTGAAACCCTGTCTCTACTAAAAATACAAAAAAAAAACCAGCTTGGCATGGTGGCACGTGCCGGGAATCCCAGCTACTCGGGAGGCTGAGCCAGGAGAACTGCTTGAACCCAGGAGGCGGATGTTGCAGTGAGCAGAGATCATGCCATTGCACTCTATCCTGGGCAACAGAGCGGGACTCCTTCTCAAAAAAAAAAAAAAAGACTCATGGACCTGACTAAATGATAATGTAATATGCTTGCATAGAAAAATGCCATTAAACATTAAAATAGATTAACAAGCTGAAGAAAATATTTGTGACTTATGTATACGAGGATTATATGAGTCAATATCTTTAATATATAAAGAGGCTTTCAAATTAATAAGAAAAAAACAAGCAAGGGTTACAAAGAAAATGAAAGGAACAGAGAAGAGAGACTTAAGCTTTGCCAGAGATTTCATGTCATAGTTCAGTAGCATTGGGGGCTGCACAATCCAGCACCATTTCACTGTTCCCACTTTGCAGCTTTTGAATATTGAGCTATGAAAGTATGTGACATATGCGAACATCATAAAACTCGTGTTTTCCAGAACACAATTTCGTACATGGCTTTTATAAATGTACCATAAAGGAAATTTCCTTTACTTAGTAGGTTTGGGGGAAATGGTGGATAATTTAACGGGTGAAGCAGATGTAGTATTTCGGGATTCTCAGACTCTAATACAAAGGTGCCAACTGTGACCACAGCGTGTCCCTGACTATCTGACCGTGTTCACCGTGGCAGCTCTGGACCGGGCTCGGCTAGGAGCGCTGTGGTTCTTCAATGGGGAGCCTCAGTGAACCCCAACTATGGCCCGGGAAGAGGCTTCACGCACCCCTTTCAGCCAGGAGAGGGGGATATTCGGTCATTTTTGTGGGTGGCCCCGGGACCTTGTTTTTGTGGGAGCCACGATTTGGAAGTGGCCTTATTTTTTCACTCGTTTTATTATTGTCCCGAACAGCCTTGTCTGAGGCCTGCTCTGTGAGGCTGCTGACGTCTGCAGGAGAGAACCAGGACCTCACTGTGGGCGCTGGGCCCACTCCCAGGCTTGTCTTTCTCAATATTAAAGCATCAGCTTCATCCAAGGTTGAGAGAGCCGCAGGCCTGGGTGTGGCGCTGGAGAGCAGTCTGGGGACCCATGGGCCCTGGGGCGCCTTGCAGTCCTCTCTAGATCAGGAGACGCAAGAGCTCACGCCACCTCTAACTCCAGCGGCACTTTGTCTTCAGGAGAAAAATGAATGTTTGCTCATTCGTTCATTCACTCCACAAACACAAAACGTATCACCCCCCACCCCACTACAGCTGTGACTCGATGTGGCCACTGAATGTGGAGGGGTCACCACGTCCCCTTCGCCTGCCGTGATCACCACCTCAGTCTGCCCCTCAGAGGCCCAAGGACATGAGTGTGTCTCCAGATGCTGGGCTTTGGCTCCTGCTGTCTATAGATTGATCAAGCAGAGGTGAGACAGTGTCTTCCGCACCATGGGCTGGAGGGCAGAGGGCACACGGTATGGGGTCCCCGGGGCTCCCCAGCCCCCAGCGGGCCATCGGCGCCAGTCCTCGCACTATCACGGGCTCCTGGAGAGAAGATGGTTTGCACGGTCTTCCCACTTCTGGAGTGCGATTTCCCACATGGGTGTTTTCTGAAAGTTTCCCGTGCCATTTATAAATGCACCATCAAGGGAAGGCTCTCTGCAGAAGCAGCTTTGGAAGAGATGGGGGCTTCCATTGATTAAGGGTGTCTGTCCTATGTGCTTCTCAGAAACTTCACGCAGGGATGTAAATCACAACCCTCCAAGCAGGTGAGGGGCAGACAGTGTGTCCCAAACAATCTGACTATGCACCCTGTTCCCAAGCACACTCATGACAGTGCCTTCTGGAGGGTGGGAGAAGCGGCAGCCCCTGCTGGGGTCCAGTGCATTGGCCATCAGGTCTGGGTGAGGCTTCAGTGACCACCCCCAGGCTCCTGGGGCTTCCACAGTGGAGGCTGCCATCCTGTCCTTTCTTCCTGACCCTCATGGCCCTGGCTGTATGTGGCCACCCCGGGTCCAGCTGGGCCCAGGCCAAGGCCAGGTTGAGTCACAGGGGCCTTTCCAGACCCCTAGGGTCAACAGCATCAGAAATCATCGTGTAGGCTGGGCTTAGTGGCTCACGCTTGTAATCCCAGCACTTTGGGAGGCCGAGGCGGGTGGATCACGAGGTCAGGAGATCGAGACCATACTGGCTAACACGGTGAAACCCCGTCTCTACTAAAAATACAAAAAAATTATCCAGGCGTGGTGGCGGGCGCCTGTAGTCCCAGCTACTTGGGAGAATGTCGTAAGCTTGCAGTGAGTGGAGATGCGCCACTGCACTCCAGCCTGGGTGATAGAGTGAGACTCCGTCTCAAAAAAAAAAAAAAGAGAAATCAATGTGTAGTGAGCTGTGGGTCACCCCATCAAGCCAGCACACGGGTGGCTTCCAGGCTGGAGAGGACATGGGAGCTCATGCAGAAGGAAGACTCCAGATGCATCCATGAGTGCCAGGAAGGGGCAGCCACACAGCGGGGACTGTGCTCCACCAGCCCCCGTAGCCCTGCTTGGGGAGCTTTAAGGCCCACCCTGCCACGTTTGCGTCCTTGGGGCTTTCTGGGGCATGGAGAGTGAGGCCAGAGGTCCCCCAGTGACCAGCACCTGTGGTCCGCATGCTGGTGGGTATATCACAGGGGCCGATGCCAGTGGTGGCCTCAGGGACTGAGCTCCCAGAGAGCTCCCCATGAGAGGCCAGCTTTTCTGGGGCCCATCTGTAGAGCACCGGGCCTCTCTCCTGCTGAGACCGCTCTGGTCTCTGCTGAGCAGCAGTGGGGTGCACGGGGACTGGGGGCTCTGATGGATGCGAGGGGCTTCCTGTCCTGTGGCCTACGCCAGGGCACCCGCCCTGGACAGAACCTTCCTTTACTGCAGGAGGTTCTGGGGTGTGAAGTTAGAAAACTGCCCTTCCGGAAGCCGGGCGCAGTGGCTCACACCTGTAATCCCAGCACCTTGGGAGGCCGAGGCAGGCGGGTTACCTGAGGTCAGGAGGTCGAGACCAGCCTGGCCAACAGGGTGAAACCCCGTCTCTACTAAAAATACAAAAAATGCTGGGTGTGGTGGCATGCACCTGTAATCCCAGATACTAGGGAGGCTGAGGCAAGAGAGTTGCTTGAACCCGGGAGGCGGAGGTTGCAGTGAGCTGAAATTGCTACTGTACTCCAGCCTGGGCCACAGAGCGAGACTCTATCTCCAAAAAAAAAAAAAAAAAGAAAAGAAAAGAAAAAAAGAAAAAAGAAAACTGCCCTTCCAGGATAACTTGAGGTCAGGAGTTCGAGACCAGACTGGCCAACATAGTGAACCCCGTCTCCACTAAAAATACAAAAATTAGCCAGGCAGCCGGGGCGAGGTGGCTCACACCTGTAATCCCAGCACTTTGAGAGGCTGAGGCGGGTGGATCATGAAGTCAGGAGTTTGAGACCAGCCTGGCCAACATGGTGAAATCTTGTCTCTACTAAAAATACAAAAATTAGCCATGCGTGGTAGTGCACGCCTGTAACCCCAGCTACTCGGGAGGCTGAGGCAGGAGACTCGCTTGAACCTGGGAGGCAGAGGTTGCAGTGAGCCGAGGTGGCAGCACTGCACTCCAGCCTGGGCAATAGAGCGAGACCCCCCTCCCCAAAAATTAGCCGGGCATGGTGGTGCGTGCCTATAATCACAGCTACTCAGGAGGGTGAGGTGGCAGTGAGCCGAGATCACGTCACTGCACTCCAGCCTGGCAACAGAGAGAGACTCTGTCTCAAAAAAAAAAAAAAAAGAAAAGAAAAATAGGCTGGGCGCAGTGGCTCACGCCTGTAATCCCAGCACTTTGGGAGGCTGAGGCGGGCAGATCACAAGGTCAGGAGATCGAGACCATACTGGCTAACGTGGTGAAACCCCATCTCTACTAAAAATACAAAAAATTAGCCTGGCAGCCCGGGCGCGGTGGCTCACGCCTGTAATTCCAGCACTTCGGGAGACCAAGGTGGGCAGATCACGAGATCAGGAGTTTGAGACCAGCCTGGCCAATATGGTGAAACCTTGTCTCTACTAAAAATACAAAAATTAGCCATGCGTGGTGGTGCACGCCTGTAACCCCAGATACTCAGGAAGCTGAGGATTCTCTTGAACCGGGGAGCTGGAGGTTGCAGTGAGCAGAGATGGCACCACTGCACTCCAGCCTGGGCAATAGAGGGAGACTCCTCAAAAAACAAAACAAAACAAAACAAAACAAAAGCCGAGTATGGTGGTGCATGCCTGTAATCACAGCTACTTGGGAGGCTGAGGTTGCGGTGATCCAAGATCACGTCATTGCACTCCAGCCTGGCAACAGAGCGAGACTCTGTCTCAAAAAAAAAAGAAAAAGAAAAAGAAAAACAGGCCGGGTGCGGTGGCTCACGCCTGTAATCCTAGCACTTTGGGAGGCCGAGGCGGGTGGATCATGAGGTCGGGAGATCGAGACCATCCTGGCTAACACGGTGAAACCCCATCTCTACTAAAAAAAAAAAATATATACAAAAAATTAGCCGGGCATGGTGGCGGGCGCCTGTAGTCCCAGCTACTCGGGAGACTGAGGCAGGAGAATGGCGTGAACCCGGAAGGCAGAGCTTGCGGTGAGCCGAGATGGCGCCACTGCACTCCAGCCTGTGCGACAGAGCGAGATTCCATCTCAAAAAAAAAAAAAAAAAGAAAAAGAAAAAAGAAAACTGCCCCTCCTTGGAGCCAAAACCAGCCCCCAGGAATTCTCCCCTTTCCACTTGTGCTGGTGGGAACAGCCCTGCAGGGCAGGGGAGGTTGGGTGTGGGGCTGGGGTCAGGGGACAGATGGGCCTGCTGCTCCCGCTGTCTCCTTCTAATCACTTTCAATCCCGTGAGCTCCTGAAAAACAAAGCTCTTTGGAATAAAAGGAGGAGAAAACAAGATCATTTTACTCAAACACAGGGAAGTGATCTCACTGTCATCCTCAGTATTCTCTCCCTTCACTTTTTTTCATTAAAAAAAGTAACTATGTTAGAACAGCTTTAAAGTTATACAAACCTTGAGGCGCTAGTCCAGAACTGCCGCAACCCCCACCCAGCCCTCAGGCCCCCATGGACACTGTGGTTACATGAACAAACCTGCAGACACACCAACTTAGAGCCAAGGAGCCACATTTTATTCAGATTTCCCACTCCCTACCGCCCCTCTCTGTCCCGGGATCCCATGTGACACTTCATTGTCGCAGTGCCTCAGGGTCCCCCCGCCCCCTGCCCCGCTGTTTTTCAGACTCTCCCGCTGGGCGGCCTGACTGCCCCAGTGAGGAGGGCTCAGGCACTGGGCCGCCTCTGCTCCGACCCAGTTCACTCCTGGAGAGGCTGGGCTGTGGGTGGGGGGAGAAAGCCCCGGTGCGGGGCACCCACCCAGGCGAATCCTCCCCGAGACGCTGGCCTGGGCCAGGGGCCAAGGGGTCATCAGGCTGCCCCTGTGTGGTCACCCCTCATGCAGTACTTGCAGAAGGAAGTCACCAGGCCCAGCCCACACTTCAGGGGGGTTACCTCCCGCAAGGGTCTTCTCCCACTTTCGACCAGCACAATTGTCCTGTGGCTCCAGCCCTGCCCGGCGGTCCTCCGCCCCCTGCTCTGAAGCCCCTAACCTCCCTCCAACAAAGTCCCCCTTCCCAACCCACCCCGCACCTCCCACACTGCCCCTCTGCCCACCCCACCTTCCTGCTCCCTTCCCTGCTTCCACGTTCCACCCCCACCCTGAACCTACCCCTCCCAGCTCCCCAACCCCCCACCTGCCCTGACATTCCCCACCCAACACCCCTTACCCCATCCTCCAGGGCCTTCCCTGTTTCCTTCTCTCCCCCACAGCTGCCCCCCAAACCTGGGGCTCCAGACTGAGCTCCCAAGCCCGGCTCCTGAACGCCCCTCCCTCTATCCCGCCAGAGGACCACCTCCCCTGAACACCCCCATCTCCTCCTCACCATCTACCCCCACCCCCACTCCCATCCCAACCGACCCTGAGATCCCTGAGGCCCATCCCCACCCCATTCTCACCCCTATCCTGCCCTAAAGGCCACCTCCCCTGAAACCCCCATCCTCGGCCTCACACCCCCATTCCTACTTTCACCCCGTCTCTACCCTTGCCCTGAGCCCCGACCCCCGCCACTGAGCCCTGCCCCGGAGTGCCCACCCTCACCCTATCATCACCCCCATCCCGCCAAAGGACCACCTCCCCTGAAGGCCCCCATCTCCAACTCAGCATCCACCCCCACCCCCACTCCCTAATCCCCCAACAGATCTCCCTAAGCCCCGCCCTCCACCCACCCACCCTGCCCTGAGGGCCACCTCCACTAATCCTCACCCATCTCCACCCAGGGGGCCAACTCCACCTAACCCCCCGCCCTGCCCTACCTCCACCCTCCACCCTCCACCCTCCACCCCTCCACCCCTCCACCCTCCACCCTCATCCCTTTCTTCACCCTTGCCCTGAAGCCCACCCCTATGACCTTCCTAAACCCCACCTCTGAGCGCCCTGCCCCTACCCCACAGCCACCCCTATCCCCCACCCCACCCCAAGGGCCCCCCTCTACTGAAACCCCCCTCATCTGCCCCATCCCCAGTCCTCCCATCTCCACCCCTCCCCTGAACCCCACTCCCCACTGAGGTCCCCAAACCCCACCCCTCACTCCACCCTGAGGGCCCCATCCTCTGAACCCCAATCCCCCAGCCCCACTGAGCTCTTAACCCTCCCCACCTGAGGGTTCCCTTTCCCTGCCCGTCCCCCAGCTTCCTAGCTCCCCACCCCAAGTGACCCCCCGCAGCTCCTCGCCCCTCCCACTGCAAACCGGCACTGAAGGGCTGCCCCGCCCCCGCCCCTCCCCGCCCCCGCGGGACACGCCCAGATTCTTTGCCCCCATAGCCTGGTGACCTCTGGCCACCCGCTGTCCCAGGTGGGCCTGGATCCTTCCAGCTCATTCTTTGCCTGCGCCGTCCCTCGTTCCATGGCCCAGTCCTCCCCGGGGACCCTGAGCCTGGAAGCCCCGGACCACTGGAACCTTGAACCCACCAGCTGGCTGTACCCGGAGCCGTGGCAGCAGCCCTGTGAGTCTCTTTCCTACTCCCTGACCATGCTGCCTTCAAGGGTGCGGCTGGCCAAGACCATCCCCAGGGGTCCCTGCTGGGCCTGAGGGACACTGTAGGAGGCTGGGGCATGGGAGTCCCTGAGGGGTCGAAGGCTGGGCCCAGAGGAAAGCAGGGGCTGCAGCGGCCATTGGCCCCAGGTCCTCATGAGGGCCCTGCCCTCCCCTTTTTGCCCCATCTTCCATGTTGTAACAGGGCCAGGCAGGTGGGGGGCACGCCTCAGGGGACCCTTGAGCCCCTCTCAGGGCTGGCACTGGCCTTGGCTGTCCTGCCCCTCATCCCTGGGTTGGGCAGGTGGGTGTCACCGCGGGGGTTCAGGTGGCCTGAACTAGTCAAGGTCTGCTCAGCAAGCTGCTTCCCGTGCTGGGGTGCATCAGGGATCTGAGCAGGGGCTGACGGCTTTCTCACATCTGTGTCCGTGTGTCCTGACACAGCATCCCCATGGCGGCCATCCCAGCCCTGGACCCAGAGGCCGAGCCCAGCATGGACGTGATTTTGGTGGGATCCAGTGAGCTCTCAAGCTCCGTTTCACCCGGGACAGGCAGAGGTGAGGGCTCATCTGCTTATTGGACCAGTCACTTAGGATGCTGATCCCAGGCCTGGATGAGGTCTGGAGTTCCAGGCTTCTGGAGTATTCATGCATTATTCAGGCACCCGGGCTGGGGCAGGAGGTTCCCCACCCACAGTCTTCCCCCAGGTATGGGCGTTTAACACACCAAGATAAGGTGTGAGGGCGGGATGGCAGGGGACCTCAGGCTCCTGTGACTTTGGAAAACGAATTGTGATGCTCACTTCCTGGCCGAATTTAAATTAAGAGATCAGAGGAAGAAGAAAGGGGCTACTTCTTATCTTCCTTTCCAGATCTTATTGCATATGAAGTCAAGGCTAACCAGCGAAATATAGAAGGTGAGTGTTTGCATACTGGCCCACACCAGACAAAAGAGACGGGGCACAGTGGCTCACACCTATAATCCCAGCACTTTGGGAGACCAATGTGGGAGGATCATTTGAGCCCAGGAGTTTGAGACCAGCCTAGGCAACATAGTGAGACTCTGTCTCTACAAAAAAATAAAAATAAAAATTAACCAGGCATGGTGGCATGCACCTGTAGTCCCAGCTACTCAGGAGGCTGAGTTGGGAGGATTGCTTGAGCTGGGGAGGTCGAGGCTGCAGTGAGCTATGATAACACCACTGCACTCCAGCCTGGGTGACGGTGAGATCCTGGAAGGAGGCAGTGGACACCACTGTGCCACGTGTATCCCTTCTCCCCCTCCCAAGGCCCCTGTAGCTTCATTTAAAGCATATAGTTTAATGTATTTTAGTTTATTTACAGAGTCAGCAACCATCATCACCATCTAATTTTAGAAGGTTTTCATCACCCTGAAAAGAAAACCCATGTCTAGTAACAGTCACTCCAAATTCCCCCTTCTTGCTTCCCTTCTTTTAACTCTAGGCAACCACTCCTCGACTTTCTCTCAACGTGGGTTTGCCTTTTCTGGATCCTTTGCATTTCCGTATGAATTTAGGATCAGCCTGTCAACTCCTGCCCAAAAGCCAGCTGGGATTTTGAGAGGGCTCTGCAGCTCCATTTGGGGACTCATGCTATTTTAACAATATTAAGTCTTCTTCTTTTTTTTTTTTTTTTTTTTTTTGAGACACACTCTCACTCTGTCCCCCAGGCTGGAGTGCAGAGGCATGATCTTGGCTCATAGCAACCTCTGTCTACCAGGTTCAAGTGATTCTCCTGCTCAGCCTCCTAAAGTGCTGGAATTACAGGCATGAGCCACCACACCCAGCCAATGTTAAATCTTCTGATCCATGAACATGGGATATCTTTCCATTTTGTTCCATCTTCCTTAACATCTTCCAACAATACTTTGCAGTTTTCAGTGTATAAGTCTCATATTTGTTTGGCTAAATTTATTCCTAATCGTCTGCTGTATTTGACAGCACTGGGAAAACACAGTGTGCTTTGAATGTTTCCTTTAGACATCTGCATCTGCTGCGGAAGTCTCCAGGTTCACACACAGCACCCTCTGTTTGAGGGAGGGATCTGCGCCCCATGTAAGGTAGGCAGGGAGGCTGGGGGTGACTCCCTCATGGCCTCAGAGCAGGGATGACACAAGCCAGCCTTGCTTTGCTCCTTCCAAGGACAAGTTCCTGGATGCCCTCTTCCTGTACGACGATGACGGGTACCAATCCTACTGCTCCATCTGCTGCTCCGGAGAGACGCTGCTCATCTGCGGAAACCCTGATTGCACCCGGTGAGGCGAGGGGCCTGCCCAGGGGGGTGAAGGGGCTGAGGACACACCCATCCTTTCAGCTACTCATTCTGGAGTGTGGGTGGATTTTCTTCCCAAATGGATGATTTCCCTGAGAGCTTCTGATTTCTGTCTCCAATGCGTCATTTGGCATAGAGCCCTGAGCTATGGGAGGCGGGTGTCTACGGTTGGCGATTGTGATTTTTCTTTTCGGTGTTGATATTGCCACATCGCTGTGCAGGGGAGCGATGGAAACCCCACACCCCAGGCTGCCAGTCATGACCGGGGTGACAAGGGGTATGCTCACCCCTCAGTCGTTACTCCCTCGCCTCGGCTCCCTCCGTGGGCTCCTCTCCTCGGTCCTTCTGGGCCATCCTCGTATTTACAGCTCCCCACTCCTCAAGTTCTCTCCCCCAGCTGCTGTTGCTACATTTGGTTTTGCTGGGAGTCCCTACGCTGTTTCTGCAGGCTCGAGTTTGGGGGCAGACAGGTGGCTTAGGGGGTTCCTTGGATCTGTCATTGCCTGTGAATCCACCTCCCTGTCTTCTGCACCTGGCTCGGCTCCTGTCACTCTGCGTCTCTAGGAAG
The DNA here is from genome assembly GCF_000001405.40 of Homo sapiens. NCBI lineage: Eukaryota > Metazoa > Chordata > Mammalia > Primates > Hominidae > Homo > Homo sapiens. The sequence goes on along the minus strand of NC_000021.9, from coordinate 44,258,851 downwards.
GACCGTCTCCCTCTTCCCAGTCCACCACCTGGTCTTCCCAAAGGGAGCTCCAGCGTGACTTTTCCCTCCAAAACAAGGCTCAATCAGGCCCACCTCTGCCATCCTCAGGAGAGGTGGGCTGTCATGTCCGCTGCTGTGGTTTTCTGTCTGGCCTTAGATGCTACTGCTTCGAGTGTGTGGATAGCCTGGTCGGCCCCGGGACCTCGGGGAAGGTGCACGCCATGAGCAACTGGGTGTGCTACCTGTGCCTGCCGTCCTCCCGAAGCGGGCTGCTGCAGCGTCGGAGGAAGTGGCGCAGCCAGCTCAAGGCCTTCTACGACCGAGAGTCGGTAAGGAGCCCGTGGAGGGGCAGCACCCGGCAGCAGCAGGCCCTGACTTACGGCCTTCCCTCGGTTCCCGCTGCAGAATGCAGGCGCGCCGACGGGCACCACGGCTGCAGCCTCGGGAGCAAACACTCTTTCCTGGGTTCCTCTCCGATAGTGGCTTCCACTCGATGGTGGCTTTGGGTAAACTGCTTTGGCAGTTTTGTTGCTTCCAAGCCTAGGAACGAGGCCCTGGTAGCAGATGGGAGAGGGGCCGGGAGAGGGTGGCTGGCACGTCTCAAAGTCCAGTCCTCAGGAGCAAGTGCCTGGGCTTCTGCTGGCCAGGTGTGGGCCGTTTTGGGAGTCCAGCCGAGGAGCCAGGGGGGCCGGCAGGAACCTCAGACAAAGGCAGAGAAGGTGGAATTTTGTCCCTCTGAGAGGGACATCCAAGTCTCCATCCCTTACCTGTGAATGTGATCTTATTTGGAAACAGGGTTTTTGCAGATGTAATTTAGTTAAGGATCACGAGATGAGATCATTCCAGATTTAGGGTGGGCCCTCAATGCAGCGACTAGTGTCACTGTAAGAGATTTGGGAAATGGAGACGGAGAAGACAGTCACATGATGATGGAGGCAGAGACTGGAGTGAGGTGTCCACCAGCCATGGGTGCCAGCAGCCCCAGGAGCTGGGGGAGAGGCCTGGCACGTCCTTGCCTGGCGCCTTCTGAGGGAGGCACGCCTGCCGGCACACCTTCACTTCAAAACCTCTGGCCTCCTGAGCTGTGAAAGAATAATTTCTGCTGTGCCAAGTCCCCTGGTCTGTTTTTTATTTATTTATTTATTTATTTATTTATTTTTTTTTTTTTTTTGAGACGGAGTCTCGCTCTGTCGCCCAGGCTGGAGTGCAGTGGCGGGATCTCGGCTCACTGCAAGCTCCGCCTCCCAGGTTCACGCCATTCTCCTGCCTCAGCCTCCCAAGTAGCTGGGACTACAGGCGCCCGCCACTACGCCCGGCTAATTTTTTGTATTTTTAGTAGAGACGGGGTTTCACAGTTTTAGCCGGGATGGTCTCGATCTCCTGACCTCGTGATCCGCCCGCCTCGGCCTCCCAAAGTGCTGGGATTACAGGCGTGAGCCACCGCACCGGCCTTGTTTTTTATTTTTTTATTTTTGAGATGGAGTTTTGCTCTTGCTGCCCAGGCTGGAGTGCAATGGCACCCTCTTGGCTCACTGCAACCTCGGCCTCCCGGGTTCAAGCGATTCTCCTTCCTGCCTCCTGAGTACCTGGGATTACAGGCACCGACCGCCACACCCGGCTAATTCTGTACTTTTAGTAGAGACAGGGTTTCACCATGTTGGCCAGGCTGGTCTTGAACTCCTGACCTCAAGTGATCCACCTGCCTCAGCCTCCCAAAATGCTGGGATGACAGGCATGAGCCACCGGGCCCAGCCCCTCCAGTCTGTTTTAATTTGCAGGCCAGCCACGGGAAGCTCCTACAGAAGGGGTGTGGCCCCCGGTGAGGCAGCCAGCGGGGAGCAAGGGACCCCTGAGCTGACCATGAAACTGCACTGGCCTCCAGCTCACATTTGTTAAGGTTGAACGAAGTCATCTCTCCCTGCCTAGCAAGCTTCAGCCTGCTCCAATTCGAAGGAAAGGGTCAGATGGGAAGGTATTTTATAGGAACAGAGCCTAGCACTCTGAAAGCCGAGGCCCCCGAGTTTTGGGCCTTGGGGGTTGGCCCTTTAACAGGGAGCATGTGAGGCTGGAGCTGGCTGCCCGCCTAGCCCATCAGGTTGGCAGGGTCAGGGAAAACCACAGGCCTCACCTGCCCCGAGGCTCACCTCTCCCCGGCATCTCTGGCCTTGGGGCTCTCTTCTCCGAGGTTCTGGAAGCTGCCAGGATGAGCAAGACCAGCCTGGCCAATATGGTGAAACTGTCTCTACTAAAAATACAAAAATTAGCCGGGCGTGGTGGCGGGTGCCTGTGATCCCAGCTACTCGGGAGGGTGAAGCAGGAGAATCGCTTGAACCCGGGAGGCGGAAAGTTGCAGTGAGCCAAGATTGCACCATTGCACTCCAGCCTGGGTGACAGAGCAAGACTCCATCTCAAAAAAAAAAAAAAAAAAAAAATCAGCAAACCCCTCCACACCTACTGTCTCTCGGCTGGAGACAGGTCAGAGCGGGAGACTGAGGCTGGAGCAGGGGGTGGAGTTGGCCTTCCTGGGGGGGCAGTGCTGGTCAGGACAGGCCCAGTCAGCCTCAGCAGGTGTGTCTTATGTGTGTCTCCGGTGAGTCTCGAGTGAGTGTTCATCCAGGGAAGAATTTTCATTGTAACTCAAGGGCTCTGTAGCCAAGTAGCCGGCACAATGTCCTGTTTTGGTTTTTTAATAAATAGGAGAATCCCCTTGAGATGTTCGAAACCGTGCCTGTGTGGAGGAGACAGCCAGTCCGGGTGCTGTCCCTTTTTGAAGACATCAAGAAAGGTGAGTCAGTGATGTCCCAAAGACACACATGGAAAGATGCCTCTAAACACCTGACTGCCCCTCAGGCCACCCCCCGGGACTCCCCACCCCCTCCCCTAGACCGGCCAACTGCTGATGTCCTGTACCCTTCCCCACCCTGGGCCCATGCTAACCCTGCACTGGGGCCTTTGGAAATGGCACTTGTCTTCTGGGCCCCGCAGGCACAGCCAAATCCATGAAGACACTCCCTCTCCTCTGGCCGTTAGGGATGTGTCCCGCTGGGACACCCACTAAGGCCCACAAGTGTCTCAGAGCGGCCTCATGCGGGAGCACATATCTGCCCCATGCAGCCGATCAGGAGCCTGATCCCGCAGCGCCTGCACAGCCTGTCCAAGGTCTTGCTGCCCAGGAGGGGCTGAGAAAGCCAGGGCCTCCTCCAGGGCCGTTCCAGGGCTCTGCAGCTCACACCAGCTGCAGAGTGGAGTGGACTCCACTGCTCTGTGGATTTCCTAGCCAGAGGTGACATCGCATCCCAGAAATGCCTGGTGCTGTAATACAGTCCTTGACATCCTTTTTTTTTTTGAGGCGGAGTCTCGCTCTGTTGCCCAGGCTTGATCTCGGCTCGCTGCACCTCTGCCCCCCGGGTTCAACCAATTCTCCTGCCTCAGCCTCCCGAGCAGCTGGGATTACAGGTGCTCACCACCACGCCCAGCTAATTTTTGTGTTTTTAGTAGAGACAGGGTTTCACCATGTTGGCCAGGCTGGTCTTGAACTCCTGACCTCAGGTGATCCATCCGCCTTGGACTCCCAAAATGCTGGAATTACAGGCTTGAGCGTCTGTGCCCGGCCGTGCTTGACATTCTTAAATCAATACTTGGCAATGTTTGCTTGTTTAGCTTGTTGTGAGACAAAAACCTCCATCCTTAATCCTCCTGCCACGTCATTAAAAAGATAAAGTTGGGCGGGGTGCAGTGGCTCACACGTGTAATCCCAACAATTTGGGAGGCTGAAGTGGGCGGAACATTTGAGGTCAGGAGTTGGAGACCAGCCTGGCCAACATGGTGAAACCCTGTGTCTACTAAAAATACAAAAAAATTAGCCGGGCGTGGTGGCACATGCCTGTAGTCCCAGCTACTCGGGAGGTTGAGGCAGGGGAACCGCTTGAACCTGGGAGGCGGAGGTTGCAGTGAGCCAAGATCACGCCACTGCGCTCCAGCCTGGGCGACAGAGGGAGACTCCATCTCAAAACAACAACAACAAAAATATACAGTTGGCTCCTTAATGGTAGGAGGGTCCTCTGATCGTCCGTCAGCCTTTTCGAGTCCCTGTAGGGGCACAATCCACGCTCACCCTCTGGGCCCTTCTGGTCTCTCCCCATCCAGAGCTGACGAGTTTGGGCTTTTTGGAAAGTGGTTCTGACCCGGGACAACTGAAGCATGTGGTTGATGTCACAGACACAGTGAGGAAGGATGTGAGTACCGCCGTGAACTCTCAGACACTGTAGTGGGAGCGGGGGTGCGAGCTTCCTCAGAGGAAATGCCAAGGATGAGGCGGGCAAGGAGGCGGCAGCAGGGGCTGGGAGGAGTCCTGAACACACGGGGGCCTCTCGGCAGCCTGGTGGGGATCCTGGGTCTGACAGGAGTCAGCCCAACCCCGCCGGCCCAGCCACCACTGTGATGCCCCGCAGCGGAGGGCTGAGCAGCACGTTTTGGTGGTCCCAGCATTGCCCAGAGCCCAGAGCCCAGAGCTCAGAGCAGGGCAGTTGGGCAAACATCTTGTCCAACATCTTGAAATCTAAGTAGCCAAATTCCACTGCCTGTGATGGGGCGCTGTCCGGCAAGGAGGGGCTGAACCCCCACTCCACCCTCTAAAATGAGGAGGCCGAGCCTTGACCTGGACAACTGGTCACTGTTTGAAAGCATCCTCCCGCTGCTGGAAGGAGGTGACACAGCTCCAGTCGTGCGTTCCCCCTGTAGGCCAGATTCCCCGCTGCCTTGGTGCCTTCCCATGCCACTGTGAGAGAAGCATGAGCAGCCACCTGTGTACAGGTCTTTTGGGGGCTCCCGGCCTGGGACCAGCAGCCCCCCCTCACCTCCGCTGTCCCCACCCCACCATGCCTTTTCGGCACTCGGAGACCCTCAGGTTGCACCTGCCATCAACAGTTAGGTTTATCCACTTGCTACATCGTGGAAGGACACAAAATGATGCCCCGGAGGCATGAGGAGTTTGGGGCTAATGGGATTCGGGCTGTTATGTGATTTGAGGGGGTCCAGGGAAGTGGAGTCCATTGTTGACTGGTGCTATCAGGAGACGGGGTTCTGATACTTGACTATCTTAAGTTTTGGGGGGCTTTTTTGTTTTTTGTTTTTGAGATGGAGTCTCACTCTGTTGCCCAGGCTAGAGTGTAGTGGCACAATCTGGGCTCACTGCAACCTCCGCCTCCAGGGTTCAGGCGAGTCTCCTGCCTCAGCCTCCCAAGCAGCTGGTATTACAGGCACCCGCCACCATGCCCAGCTAATTTTTTGTATTTTTTAGTAGAGACGGGGTTTCACCATATTGGCCAGGCTGGTCTTGAACTCCTGATCTCAGGTGATCCACCCGCCTTGGCCTCCTAAAGTGCTGGGATTACAGGTGTTAGCCACCACGTCCAGCTGTTAATTTTTATTTAATAAGAATGACAGAGTGAGGGCCATCACTGTTAATGAAGCCAGTGTTGCTCACAGCCTCCCCTTGGTCACTTTTTGTGACTGAAGGGCATGTGTTCAGGCAAGATTGTTGGGTGGCTGTGTTTTGTCTTCTTCCAGCTCGGCCATGGAATAGCCTGTGGGGACCTACTCTGTGGTCCCCAGGGAGCTACTCTGTGGGGGCTGTTTCTGTTCAGCAGGGAAGGCTCTGCCCTTGCTGTTAGCTCCTGGAGGGCTGCGGACGGCACCTGCTGTGTTCACAGATGACAGTTACTTCCCTAGGTAGTCTGCATGTTGGGCCTCCCAGGACTGGTTCTCTAAGGGCAATGTGAGGACAGACAGAAAAACCAAATTCTGCCAAAGTTTTTAAATAGGTTTATTCTGAGCCAATAAGAGTGACCATGGCCTGGGAAATACAGTCTTAAGAGATCCCGAGGAAGTGCACCTGAGGCGGTCAGTTACAATTTGGTTTTATGTATTTATTTATTTTTATTTTATTTATTTATTTATTTGTTTTTGAGACGGAGGCTTGCTCTGTCGCCCAGGCTGGAGTGCAGTGGCGTGATCTCGGCTCACCGCAAGCTCCGCCTCCCGCGTTCCTGCCATTCTCCTGCCTCAGCCTCCCGAGTAGCTGGGACTACAGGCGCCCGCCACCATGCCTGGCTAATTTTTTTATATTTTTAGTAGAGACGGGGTTTCACCGTGTTAGCCAGGATGGTCTCAATCTCCTGACCTCGTGATCCGCCCGCCTCTGCCTCCCAAAGTGCTGGGATTACAGGCGTGAGCCACCACTCCCAGCACAATTGGTTTTGTACATTTCAGGGAGATGCGAACTGCAGGTGGAATCAGAAAACAGTACACGGGCCGGGCGCGGTGGCTCACGCCTGTAATCCCAGCACTTTGAGCTGAGGAGTTCAAGACCAGTTTGAGCAACTTGGTGAAACCCCATCTCTACCAAAAATACAAAAAAGTTGGCTAGTCATGGTGATGTGCACCTGGGGTTGCTCAGGGGGCTGAGGCAGGAGGATTGCTTGAGCCCAGGAGGTAGAGGTTGCAGTGAGCCGAGATCTCGCCATTGCACTACAGCCTGGGTGACAGAGTGAGACCCCATCTCAAAAAATCAATCAATCAATAAATCAATACATAGAAGATGTGCATTGGATCAGCCCCAAAAGGCGAGATATCTTGAAGCTTACAGGTTATAGGTGGGTTTAGGGATTCTTTAGTTGGCAGTTGGTTGAAAGAGTTGAGCTTTGCCTAAAAACTGGGAGTCAGTAGAAAGGAATGCTTGAGTTAAAATAAGGAGGTCTGCTGTCTGTCATGTGGTGCCATGGCAGAGTCACAATATACCAGGTCAAAAACACCCATTCCACAAGCTTTTGTGGTTTGTAAGGCGTGATTCCCCTACGCTCCTTAGAAAGGAATTTGAGCAAGAAAAAATAAAGGCAGAATTCAGTCCCCAAATGCATGGCACAGAGTCTTCACCTCAGACCCGGAGCTTTCTCCTCTGGGCTCCAGGCAGGCAGCCCCTGAGGCTGGTGGTGGCTGTGGATGGCTCTGCCCTAGTGGGCTCCACTCCTCAGCTTGCCCTGGCCTGTGGGCCCTGCGAGCTGAGCAGGGTCTGCCCTGGGGTCATCTCGTGCTGCCGCACGCGACCTTGCCCACTGCTGCTGCCTCTCAGTGCCCACTCCCCTCTGTCCTGCAGGTGGAGGAGTGGGGACCCTTCGATCTTGTGTACGGCGCCACACCTCCCCTGGGCCACACCTGTGACCGTCCTCCCAGTGAGTGATGCTTCAGTTCTGGCAGCCTGTCCCCACCACCCCTGTCTCCTCTCCTCTCTCCTCACACCTCCATGCCAGGGCAGAAACTGCAAATTGTCAGCATTTTTCAAAAACAGCTTTATCGAGGCACCACTGACATACAGTAAGTTGCACGCATTCAGTGTGTCCGACTGGATGAGTTCTGAGCTAGCTCCACACCCATGCACCCCTCATCAGAGTAAGAGAGCAACAGAGTAAGAGTCCCCATCACTGCAGGCTTCCCTGTGCCCCCAAGCCTCCCGCTGACCCCATGCAGCCCCCAGCGTGCCCACATCACTGCAGCTCACGTGTCCTCTGGAGCTTCCTCTAAAAGGCGGTATTTGTGCCGCGGCACGCGCTCTGCGTCAGCTCCTCCCTCGGGGTTGCCTGTCTGTCTCTTCCCCACTCTAGGCCTGCCTGGGGGAGGAGGGGTCCATGCACCTCTGTGGCCCCAGCACTGGGCAGGGCTTCATTGCTGCTGGAGGGACAGGGGCAGGGGGATCCCTCAGACCCAGGCCGGTGCGTCCCCTCGACCCCCTCAGCCCTTCTCTCAAGCCCCAGTTTCCTTAGGCCCCTGCCCAGATGCACCTGAACAGCGTCCCCATGACCAGCCCCCCCGGCCCCCCCTCAGCCCTGCCCCCTCACCCCACTCCAGGCTGGTACCTGTTCCAGTTCCACCGGCTCCTGCAGTACGCACGGCCCAAGCCAGGCAGCCCCAGGCCCTTCTTCTGGATGTTCGTGGACAATCTGGTGCTGAACAAGGAAGACCTGGACGTCGCATCTCGCTTCCTGGAGGTGCGTGCAGGGCTGCGTGGGCCGCCCTCTGACCCCTGCCCACGTGAGGGAGGGGCTTTTCTGGTGGAGCTCAGTCTACACCCCAGGCTCCGGGCCTGGCTCCTTGCGGCCCCTGGTTTCCAGGTGTGTACAGGGCCCAGGAGAGCTGCTGTGCAGTCCGGGCAGGGACTGCGGCCTGGGACACAAAGCCCCTTCAAGGACAGCATGGGAGGGCAGTCCCACCTCGCACCACTCCTGTGCTCACAGAACACGGCCTCGGGGGCTCACCTCCTGCCCCTGCCCCCTCAGTCTCCACCCACACACACGCACATCACACCACACACACAGGTGCACACACACTGCAGTGCACAGTCACTGTACACATGCACCACACACAGGGACACACTTGCCACACACACACAGGCACACTACGTGCACACATACTCACACCACACACATACAGCCTTTTCTTCACACGTCTGAATCCTGATTGTCAGAGCAGCCACTTTTGGACTCAGCGGATGGGTCCCCTCTGGGGCTGATGGGCCGGGTGTTCCAGACACTTCCAGGGTTGGGGAGGGACGGCCACACCTCAGCCACAGGAGACAGGCGTGAGGCTCAGGAGGGGGAATTTCCTCATGCTCTCAGGTTCCATGGAGGGGCCACAGCCAGCGGGGGCCCGACCCACCGAGTGGGCAGCACCTGTGGGCCAGAGCCTTTGCTGGGGGTCCAGGTGGCGTTGAGGTTCCTTTGGTGCTGGAATCTCGTGGAGTGGCTGGAATGCAAATCCAGCTATTCAGAAGGGGAGCAAACGCCATGAGCTGAAAATCACAAAGTCTGTGCTTTTAGAACAGGAGACTTTGTTTCTGTAAAGGGGCACAGCCTGCAAGGTCCCGTCCCCCAGGCTGGGAAGCACGGGGCCTCCACCAAGACCAGAGGAGCCAGGAGGAGGCACTTCGAAGGGGAGGGGTGGCTGGGGCAGGAGCTCCGTGCTGACCGGGTTGGCTAAACCTGTGCGGCAGGTTATGGAGGAGCGGTGAATATTCATGAAGGGGGTCCTGCTGCGTGCGTACTGAACAAAATCCGTGGAACTTACGACCTCTGTTCACTCCGGGGTGGAGTCTTATCATGTCAGTGTGTCGCAATGAGGCCCTAAACCTCAGAGGTCTTCTCAGGACACAGGCCCTCAAGCGCACAACCTCTGTAAACCGGCCGGAGCCAGTCTGTGGTCGGGGTCCCTTATCAGGAGGAGGTTCCTGAAGTCAGTCTCCTGCCCAGTCAGAGCTGTGGTCATGGCTGTGGAACGTGGTCAGTTGGCATCTGCAGGTGGATGAGCTGCAGTCATTTGAACCTTGCTCATCCTCATCGCGGGGCCAGTGCGTGTTTAGCCGCTGCAGAAAAAGCAGCAGCTGTGGCGTGAGGGCAGAGTCCGTCCTCTCAGTGTAGGGCACGCGGCTCGGCTCGACCCTTGCCTGGCGCGGCCTGAGGTCCTGTTTGTAATTTGATATCTTATTGCCACAGAGTCTGTTCTGTCAGTTTAAAATAATTCATCAGCATTTTTCTCCAAAGGTGATTCATAAGAAAAAAGGACGTAGGGAACACAGTCGGGCTAGAAAGTCCATTGACCACTCAGGGCCATTGGCGGCTGAGGCCAGTGGGCCTGTGGGGGGCGCTTACCGTCCAGGTCCCCTGACCCACGGCCGACCCTCCCGCCCCCAGATGGAGCCAGTCACCATCCCAGATGTCCACGGCGGATCCTTGCAGAATGCTGTCCGCGTGTGGAGCAACATCCCAGCCATAAGGAGGTATTTCCTGGGCAGCTGAAAGCGTTCAGGGTCAAGGGGAACATGGACCCAGAAGCGGGGTTCACTGAGGAAATGGGGTCTGTCTAGCAGAGCCAAGCCCAGAGCAGCCTCTGCGCCCCAGTGGGACTGCGGTCGGCCTTCGGGGCCACCCTGAGACCCTGAAGACACCGAAGCCTGAGGATGCCCCTTTCCCCTTGGGGAGCTTCTCCAGCACTGGCTCTCAGCTTCTCGGGGTCCAGCCCCTGGACACCCATATGCGCCATGGCGGCCTGGCCCTGAATCGGCTGCAGCCCCCAGGCTTTCATTCCGTGTGGCCTCCCCACCTCCCTTGCACACCCACAAGCTCATGCGTGCTCACACTCAGCCACACTCACATGACTCACTTGCACGCTCATCCATACGCCTGTGTGCTCATGTATGCACACACACACAGTCATTCCCACGGTCACGCTCATCCACACACCTGTGTGCTCATGCATGCACACACAGTCATCCCCACAGTCACGCTCATCCACACACCCACATGCTCCCTCAGTCACATGCTCACACAAGCACACTCACGACTACCACCTGCATCCACACGTTCACATGTGCTCACAATCACACAGGCACACACGCATCAGTCTCACCCACCCACACGCTTGCACCCCCTGCGGTGCACTCCTGGGCTGCCCTCCCCACCTTTTGGGGCCTTGAACACATGGCCTTTCCCCACGTGCCCTCTCTGCGGCTAAGCACCCCCTTCTGCTGCCCCCACAGCCTCTCCCAGCTGCCCCCGCCCCTCAACAGCCTTTCCAGGCGGCCCAGACCTCACGACCTCCAGCCAACCGCCCATCCATCCCCTCACTCCCACACTCGCCTGGCGTGCCTCGCTCATACGTGCATTCGTGTGGAACGAGCGCTTTCTGGCTCAGCTGAGTCATGATCTCCTCCTGCCTGAGAGTGAGTTCTGGAAACTTACTCCCTCTCACCTCCCCGGTTCCAGCATCTCCCACGTCACCACCGAGGCACGATCCTGTTGCCTGGCACCTGCCAAGGCATGGCACCTGCAGGTCTTGCTGGCCTGGCTTCCCCTGGATTTGAGTTTGGGTGGGGCTGAGCCGAAGCACTTTTCCAGCATGCTTTCTCTTCAGAAGCCCTCTCACCTGCATGCCAGCCTTCGCACAGCCTCCCCCTAACCCTAAGCCTGTTCCCCGCCATGTCACTTCCTGGGAGGCCATGCCAGGCTCTGTGGGGCTGGGTGAGCGGGGGTGAAGGTGGGGGCAGACCCAGCAACACCTGTGTGCATTACAGGCCATGCCTCACCTGCTGCCTGGCCCCAGAGGCTCCTTGGCCCCCGGAGGCTCTATGCGTCCACACAGCAGTGAGAACAGCGCCCCATCAGGGTTCTTAAGTGGCAGGTGCAGCCAGACCCAGGGTTGCTGCTCCACAAAAGGCACCTCCCTCTGCTCCAGTGGCCACACTTGTGGCCCCTGCAGGCTTGGGCTGTGGGCTGGCAGCTGCTTCTTCCCAGCCCCCCTTTCTGAGCGAGGCTCCACAGAGCTCCTCACAGGGTTTCGAGGGCTGGATCCACCTGAGCCGTGATCCTGGGGTCACCTGGTTCCCAGAAGGAGGCTGGCAGTTCCTTCCCACAGGTTTCCCTCCCAGGCTCCTGGGTGTCTCAACAGTGACATGAGAGACACCCACTCACTGAAAGGAGAAATCCTTTTGCAGAGGTAGCCACCATCACCCCCAGGATGGTTAAGGACAGTCCCCACTGCCCTAGGGAGGGTGCCTGAGGAGGAGGAGGAGGAGGGGGACACTGTATCTGGCACTTCACTCGCAGTCTTCACCCCAAAATAAACTGAGAAATGTTCCTGGCCTCCAGTGGGGTGGCTGGGAGCAGGAGAGGGGGTGTTGGTGCCAAGTCTGCAAAGCCCGTCTTCCTCAAGGGCTCCTCACAGCAGGCTGGCAGGGGACCTTTCCTCTCACCACCTGCCCTCCTGCACCCAGGGCTGGGGCTCCCGGCACAGGCAGCCCCAGGAACCCAGGGGACGGCCTTTGTGATAGAATTCCCTGGGAATGCTCGCTGACTCTGCGAGGGTTTGGCCAACTTTTGCCCAGAGTCCTGTCCTTTCCTCTGCGGGGGTGCTGCCCAGGGATGGTGACATCCTCTAGCGATGGCCCTGGAGCTCGCTGTTCACACGGAGTGACCCCCAGCCTGCTTCCCAGGGGACCAGCCCCCGGCCGGGGGAGGCGGGAGGCAAGGGAGTCATCTGGTCCCCTGTTGCTCACTCCACCTCCATGAGAAAAACTCCCAGAATCAGGCGGGGGTTCCGGGGGGGGGGTCTTAGGCACCTGGGACAACTGAGAGGCAGGCTGTTCCCCTCGCCCCCTCGCAGCGATTCCTTCCCAGCCCCATCTCCGGGGCCACCCAGTGGGCGCTGCGCTTGCTCACAACCTTCCCTCCCCTCCTCTCAGCAGCAGGCACTGGGCTCTGGTTTCGGAAGAAGAATTGTCCCTGCTGGCCCAGAACAAGCAGAGCTCGAAGCTCGCGGCCAAGTGGCCCACCAAGCTGGTGAAGAACTGCTTTCTCCCCCTAAGAGAATATTTCAAGTATTTTTCAACAGAACTCACTTCCTCTTTATAAATGAGTCACTATACTGTGAAGAAAAAGACTTTTCCTAGAACAAAGGCAACTTTCCTCACGTTGTCTCTTTCCTCTTCGGATTCTTGTTTTTTTGCGTCTCCGTCGTCACTGCAGACCCACGTTCCGTTGGGTTCTGGAGACTCAGGGTCTCTCCCCCATCACGCTGGCTCATGGGACGGGGCGAGGCCCACGCCGCTGCACACAGGACCACACGTGGTGGTGCGCGATGTACTTCCTGAAAGCATTTCTGTGTTCTAGTTGAGAAGTTCGAGTATATTTATTATAAGATAGTTATTGGTCACGTCTGGTGTTTTATGTGTAGGCACAGCCATCTGTCACCCTGCAGGGCAGGGGGTGGAGGCCAGAAGTGAGCAGGAGGCGTCTTCGGAGCGCCTGCACCGTGTCCCGCATGATGCACTTTCTGCCGGGGCCTTCCCCTTGAGACCGCTGTTTGCGTTCATAGAGAAACCACGCACCCTGATTGTAGCTGCACCAAACAGCCTGGACCTTTGCAAAAGTACAGGACCTCAGCCTTGGCAGACAAAGGAGGGACCTGCTGAACAGACGGTGCGGAGGCCAAGGCCAGATCCACACACAAAAGTACAGGACCTCAGCCTTGGCAGGCAAAGGAGGGACTTGCTGAACAGACGGTGCGGAGGCCAAGGCCAGATCCACGCACAAAGGATGTCACTTGTGGGTCCTACCCCAGGTGGTATTGCTTGCAAAAAGCAGGGCTCCTCCTGGCCCTCTGCAGTCTGAGTCTCAGTGAGGATAAACCCAGCAGAAAGCTCTGCCTCAGGCTGTGCTCGAATCACAGGAAATGAATCTTACAGGGGAACTTTGGGGTCTGCACTGGGACTATTAGTGGTACGTAAAATGCTTTGTGGAAGAAAGGTTAAAATTGGACCCTTTGAAGGTTAAAAAGGTGTATCTGGAAGTAGAATAGAAGCCTTCACTTGAGTGAACATGACTGAACGCCTCTCCCATCTTGGGACAGTCCTGGATGCTTACGACACACATCTCACGTCCAGGGATGAATTTAGCAAGCTCTGTAATGACCCCGGGGTTCCTGAAGCCACAGAGGGAGCACAGGTGAGGGCATCCAAGTGCAAATGAGCCCTCTGGGGAGGCCTGCTTGAGCTGACACATAAATGGGGTTGAAGCCATTGTGAGCCCATGGGCACGGGCCAGGCAGGGTGGTGAGAGCTCCAGACAGGGCGGGCTGGGCTCAGGCTGTGTCCACCCAGGGAACCAGTGTCATGGGCCCAACATAACTCGTGGTCAGTTTCTGTGAGGGCTGCTTCAAAGCAGGGGCCCAAGGCTCTGTTAGGGGCTTTCTGCCACCCAAAATGCACTTTCCTTCTTTTGTTCTCTCCCCAACACTCAGAACTGTCCACACCACCTTGAGATTCTCTATGTATTTTATTTTAAATTTTTATTTTTTGAGACAGGGTCTAGCTAGTCCCCCAGGCTGGAGTGCAGTGGCACAACCATAGCTCACTGCAGCCTCCGTCTCCTGGGCTCAAGAGATCCTCCAGCCTCAGCCTCTGGAGTAGCTGGGACTACAGGTGCATGCTACCATGCGCTGCTAATTTTTAAAAATTATTTGTAGAGATGGGGTCTTGCTCTGTTGCCCAGGCTGGTCTCAAACTCCTGGGCTCAAGTGATCCTCCCACCTTGGCCTCCCTAAGTGTTGGAATTACAGGTGTGAGCCACTGTGCCCGACCTGCCAAGTATTTGAATTTTATACACAGGACCTGTATCATGATCCCATGCTCAGCTGAACCACCCTCCAAAGGATGCCCATGTCCCCATTCCCGGATCCTGTGAATGTTACCTCATGTGGCAAAGGAAGGACTTTGCTGACGGGATTAAATTGAGGTGGAAGGCCTCCCTGGATCATCCAGGTGGGTTCTACGTGTCATCCCAAAGGTCCTCATAAGAGAGGGGCAAAGTGAGGCTTGACCACACAGAGAAGCCACATGGCCACTGAGGCGGCTGCTGGAGCTAAGCACAGGGATGCCTGGGCCACCCAGAGCTGGGAGAGGCAGGTAGGATACTCCCCTAGCGCCTCCACCAGGCAGGCTTCCGCTCTCCAGGGCTGAGAGAGAATAGACTGCTGTTGTTTTGAGCCAGCAAGCGTGAGGTCGTTAGTTCCAGCGCCCACAGGAAACGAACATACAGTCATGCACCACATAACCTTCGGTCAACAAGCAATGCCACAGTGCTCCCATATCACAGCGCGGTATTTTTACTGCACCTGTTCTATGTTTAGATGGCTTTAGATACACAAATACCAGTGAGTCACAGCTGCCTACGCTATTCAGCACAGTCACCTGCCGCGTAGGCTCGTGGCCCTGGAGCAGCAGGCTGTGACACACAGCCTCGGCGTGTAGCAGGCTGTGCCACCAGGGCCAGTGTGTGCACTCTGTGTTCACACAAGGACAAAATCACCTAAGGACGCATTTCTCAGAAGGAATGTATCCTTTTCGTTAAACAATGTATGACTGTTCCCCGAAGAGAAAAGATCTTCCTTGGACCAGAAGTTGAGCTCTCAGCATCAGCGGACGCCCATGCTGTCAAACGCAGGTTGCTGTGCCAGACCCCAAAAGGACCCGGGCCTGGAGGTGCATCAAGGTGGAGATCAGAAGACCCCCACGCCCTCGAAACGGCAGAGCAGGGCGGCCTGGGGCTAGGGGCATCAGGCAGCTGCTTCCTGCTTAAGCACTACGACTCGCACCCAGAGCCTCGAACTCCAGGCTGCACAAATACGATTCCTGCTTGGTTCCCAGTTGGCCCTGGACGCTGCCAAGGGGCCCTCTCTCCACACCCCTAGAACAAAAGCCTATCCTGCCGGCCCAAGAAACAGTCACGGTTGAGGGGGAAAACGAAAACCTTCCTTTGACTACAGGAAACTTCCCAAAGGTTTCCCTGTTTCTTCATCTAAACCCATCTAAGTGTTGTGACACATGTGCCGGTGTGCTGTGTGCGTTCACTTACAACAGCCCCATTCATGTATATGTCACACGTCAGGGGATGCAGGCACCAAGGGGCTAAGGAACTTTCTGGGGTCACACAGCTCCGGAGTTGGGATCTGAACCAGCCACCGCTTACCGTGGTCTCCGAGGTTCCTGGGCTGGTCCTGGCACCCTCCCCCGCGGCCGCCTCGGCCTGCCTCAGTGTCCCCTTCTGGCCCAGCTGCCTTCCTGCCCCTGCCTGGCTGTGGCCTCCACGCGGCGTCCCCTCTCTCGGGGGGGCGGGGGGGGGGCTGCCCGCAGCACTTGGCTTGCTGGGGTCTCCGGCGTCTGCCCGGGAAGCAGAGCCTGGACCTGCCCCCTCGGCCACAGCACGGCGGGCCCTGCGGTGTCGGCCCCTCTCCCACCGCCCCCGGGCGGCACTGGGGGGCTGCGGGGTCCGGACGCACCGACAGGGCACCTTCCCTTCGCCGCCGCGGATGACCGGCCGCGCTCTTGGGAGGCCTTAATTTGGGAGGCTCTGCTCCCCCAGGACCCATTCCCCATCCTCCCAAAGCCCCCACGCGGTATCCGGGGGCCGTCCCCCTCTCCGCAGTCCCGCGGGTGGAGGGGATTCAGGTGCGCCCGGCCCTGGGGGTGGAGCGCTCGGCCCGGCGTCAGCTCATCGGCGCGGCGCAGCCCCGGACCTCAGCCGCAGGCCCAGAGGCGCGCGGTTCCCGGCCGGTCAATCAGGGAGGGCCTCCGGGAGGAGGTGGCGCTGCCCGCAGCCCGCCCGGCTCACCTGCGCCCTCCTCACCTGCGCCCTCCTCACCTGCGGGGCCATGCGGTCCCTTACCAGCAGCCGCCCGCCCCGGGGCGAGGAACCTCAGCCCCCAACATCGCCACCCCTCCAGCCTCGCCGGTCCTAGCCGGCGTCCCTGGGCGTGTCCCGGGAAGCGCACGTCCACGCTGGCGCTGGACCGGGTTTTCTGACTCCAGGGACGGGACTCGTCCTAAAGAGTCCGGCTCAGATGCGGTTACGCGCCTCACCTCACCCGGGTGCGGACCGCCAGTGCCTCCGCCCTGCACTCCGCGGGCCCTGCCCAGCTCTTCCCGCCGGAGGGCAGGTGGCCCCCGCCCCGCCCCTGCCAGGCGCGCGATTTTAAATCCCCCCAACCCCCGTCTCTCAGCGTGGCCTGGGAGGGGGAAGCCGCCCGGCTTCAGGGCTTCCTGCGCCTTCGCCGCCGCCCTCCCTGCCCTTCCCCGCCGCCGTCCCCCCTATCCCCCCAGCCCGTCTCTTCCGCCTTCTTATTTTGTGCCTGGGCTCTCTGCTCCGCAAAAATGTTGACTTCCCACGGGCAGAGGTTTCAGAATTTTTTTAAAGCTTTTGTCCACGGCGTTCTCTACATCTTGGTTGAAGGAATGGCAGCCTGCGGGGTGCCGTCTGGGGCCCCCGTCTCCCTGCGCTTCTCGCCTCCTCCATGCGCAGGAGGCGGTGGGGATCCGAGCCTCAGCCCAGAGGCGGGGGCTCCGGGAGGAGGGTGCCCCGCTGCCCTGTCTAGCAGCCTCACCCAGGCCCTTCCGGAGGTGCCTCTGCAGAAAGGGAGTCACGTCCCCCCTGGGCCTCACCTGGCTTGCAGGGATCAGGGAGGGAGGGCGGGGTGGGCTGGGTGCGGTGGGGAAGGAGCAGGGACTCTGGGTCCCACCCTCGGTTGCGTGGTGCAGCCTTTCCCAAACCAGCTGCCCCAGACTCCAGGCCAGACGCCACTGCCAAGGCTGACGAGCCCAGAGCCGCAAGCCTGCCTCGGTTTCTCGGCGGGGGATCCTCAGAGCCAGTGTTAAGCAAAGAGGCTGCGCCAGCGCCCTTCACACCCCTAGAAGGCTAGGGGAGCAAGGCTAGGTGGGGGCGGGCTGGGGCTGGCCCAGAGGGTAGAGCCCGCCCACTTTCCCTCCCTCCTTCCATTCATGCATGCGTTCATTCAGTCATTCATTCCTCAGCAGTCGCTGAGCTCACTCGCCTTAAGTCCTGGAGATCATCGGAGCGCAGCCGGCCAGGGGCCTGGCGCTCTCCCAGCCTTGGGGCCTGGGTCCCCGGACTCCTGCTCGGGGAGGGCCGCAGGACCGGCGCATTGTGCGCGGCGCGGGGAACGGCCCTTGCCTCCCACGGTGCCCTCCCTCGCTGCGCCGGCACCCGCAGCACCCCTGGCCACCTTCCTGCCGGGTACCCCCCACCCCTGCGCTTCCCAGGGCACCTACGGCGCCCAGGTCCGCGTCCAGGCGGACAGGCCGACCTGCCTCTGTCCCGCCTCCGGCCGACGGGCACACGCCTGGGCAGAGCCGAACTTTCCGGAGCCGCCGCGCAGCGCCCCGCCTCCTGTCCCGGGGCGGTCTCGGTCGCCAGAGGAGCCAGGCCGGGGGCGGGGCGGGGACGGGGCGGGGACACGGCTGCCTCCAGCACACCGCGCGCTGGGCGCTCAGAGCCTCGGGCGCGGCGGGAGCGCAGTTAGAGCCGATCTCCCGCGCCCCGAGGTTGCTCCTCTCCGAGGTCTCCCGCGGCCCAAGTTCTCCGCGCCCCGAGGTCTCCGCGCCCCGAGGTCTCCGCGGCCCGAGGTCTCCGCCCGCACCATGCGGCTGGGCAGGTGAGCCGGGGAAGGAGCGGAGGCGCCGCGGTCAGGGGCGGGGTGGCTCGGCCCGCGCGTCCCCAGCTCGGCTCGGACGCGGGGCCTGCGGGGCTCGCCTGGAGGTGCCGGGCTGGCAGTGCGGGTCCGAGGAGCGGGCGGCGGAGGCGCCGGGGCGGCCGGCGGGGCGTGGACGGCAGTGGGCGGCGGGGCCTGGCACCGGGACCCATGGCAGGACGCACAGCCGTGCGGGGGCGGGCTCGGGGGCGGGGTCCCTGCCAGGGAAGGAGGACCGCGAACGCTGGAAGGAGGGAGGGAAGGCGGGCGCACCCTGCACGCCGGGGCACGGGCGCTGCCCCTTCCACTCCCTGGCACTGCTGATTTCCTAGAAGAAGGGAGAAGGAGGGAGGTGACCGGCCGAGCGCTCTCCAAGGCCAGCTGGTGCCCACGGTCTGCGGACACGCCCTCCCCCACACACGTGGGATTCCCCGCAGCCCGGCAGCCGATCCACACTGGGGAAGGCGGGGCTGCCTGAACCAGGAGTGACAGCTTCCTCCTGGATTTTTGCGAAAATATCCAAAATATACTCTTCGCAACCCACGTTGTAGGGTCCGCAGCCTGTGCTCCCCTGGGTGAACCTGTGAGGCCCCTGACCCCAGGGATGCCTCCCGCACAGCTCAGAGCTGGGCCACACCGGAGTCACACTCCCCAGGTCCCCTCCCCATTAGAAGTGTATGCAGTTATGATCCTGCCCTAGAGAGAAAGAATTTAAAGGTCCCGGAATGTCATAGCCCTCCCAAATGTCTTAGCCCTCCGCCACCCACACCTTCAGGTAGGCGGCCCTGTCCATGCTGGGTCTTGAGGCAAGCTCGGGGTGGGGGTAGGTTAGATGCAGGGGTGCTGAGGGTCCAAGGAAAGGACACAGAGGCCGCTGCTTAGGCAGCACCCAGGGAGGGGACAAGCCAGAAACAGCCTGGAGCAGGCACCCCCCACCCTGGCCCAGGAAGCCCCCAGATGTCCTGAGGAGGCCTCCATAGACAGGAGGGGCCTTGTGGGCTGGTGATGAATATGGGCACTGTGGGAGACAAATGGGGGCACAGAGGAGTTCTCACAGCTGTCGTTTAGATGGTGGCTCTGGGGAAATGCTTGAAGGGGCTAAGGGTGGAGGCAGGGGGCCTGCTGGAGGCCATCACAGCCATCTTGCCAGCCAGAATGGTGGCCCCAACAGGGGGAGTGGGAGAGAGAGGAAGGGCCGCCTGCAGACTTCAAGAGCCCCTGGTGGCCAGGGGCCGCCTTGGTGCATGTGTGCTCACTTGGCACAGACACACCTCCATGCAGACTCAGATGACAGCCATCGTGGGTGGGGCAGGGGTTTCTGTGGCTCCAGGGCTCAGGGACAGCCCACTGGGAGGTTCCCACAAGACCAACCTTTGACTTACAAAGCCCCCAAGCTTTCCCAGGCAGAGGCCACAGAGAAGAGGGATGAGCGTCTCCCAGACCTTGGAGGTGCAGGGACATCAGAGAAGGAGATGTCCCTGCTCCTGGGGCTCTTGCTTCATGGGGAGCTGGCCCCAGAAACTGATGGTTTGGGGGGCTGGGGTAAGCACTGCTACCAAAGTGGTCCCGGCCACTAAGGGCCCCCACGTGGGGAAGGCATCCTGGGGGCTGGCGGGAGGAGGTGGCGAGCCTGTGGCGTGCAGGGTGCAAAGGCTCCCAGACCCAAGATGGCAGGGGCATTGGAGTCACGAGGGGAATTTGCTGCCCGAGGCAGGGGCACCAGCTGCAGCAGGATCTGAAACAGGAGGAGCTCAGGTTTGGTTTCAAAATGATCCGCGTTCCGCACAGGGCTGTCCCGTCACTCACCTGACCCTGTCACGGGCACGCCTGATGTTCTCCGTCTCCCCAGCATTTTAAGTGACACTCCTACTATATGTGCCCTGAAAGCTTTTTTTTTTTTTTTTTTTTCTGATTTCCTACAACTTCTTGGCATCTGTCCCCAGGAAGGCTAGACCAGCCTCACTGGCGTCCCTCGCTCCCCTTCATCCTCACGCCAGCATCACTGTGTTTCTGGGGATTTGTTACCGCGAGAGCTAGAGAGTGGTGAGAGGCTGCCAGCCCCTCGGACTTGCTGTGCTGGGCAGGAGGGTGGTGGTCCTGGCCCCGGACCCCGAATTCCCATGGAGAACAGAGGCAGGCAGGCTCCTGGCTCTGCCTTCACATTTCTGTGATGGGCTTAACTACCTCCTGCTCATGGGAACCAGCCTGTTCCTGTTTGGAAGATACAGGTAACTCCCTGGTGGCCCCGCCTCACCTGCCTTTCTGGTTGTTTTTTCCAGTCCTGGACTGCTCTTCCTGCTCTTCAGCAGCCTTCGAGCTGGTAAGTTCAGGGGGTGCTTTGCCATGGGGCGCCCAGCTCAGAGATGGGCTCTCCGGCTGTGTGGACTGCTGGCCGCAGGGCACTGGGAGCAGCCTCACCAGGCTCCTTCTTGCTTCTCAAGTGGTCCTTTGGAGACAGTTGGACCCTAAACCTAGGTTGCTGCACAGGATAGAAGCGTTTCCTTAAAGGGAAACACTTCTGCAAACTCCGGAGTTCTTGTTTGACTCCGTCTTTGTTGCGGGCAGAATGCAGTTCCTCTGAGCCAGGGCTTCCTGGGTCCCCTGGTCTCCCTGTCCCAGGCAGCAGCCCTGCTGAGCCCTAAGAGCCACCAGCCTCTGGAAGAGCCAGGAATAAGGACGAAGCACCGCAGCACAAACCTGAAACCTTGCCAAGCCTTCCAGCCCAGAGGGCTTTGGGGGCAGGGGACACACACAGATTTTCCTGCAGGTGCCAGGTGCAGTGGCTCACTCCTGTAATCCCAGGACTTTGGGAGGCCAAGGCGGGTGGATCACCTGAGGTCAGGAGTTCGAGACCAGGCTGGCCAACATAGTGAAGCCCGATCTCTACTAAAAATACAAAAAATTAGCTGGGCATGGTGGCGGGCACCTGTAATCCCAGCTACTTGGGAGGGTGAGGCAGGAGAATGGCGTGAACCCCAGAGTCGGGGGTTGCAGTGAGCTGAGATCACGCCATTGCACCCCAGCCTGGGTGACGGAGCAAGACTCCATCTCAAAAAAAAAGATTTTCCCACAGGCATTTACGTAGCTGCACAAACAGTAAAGCTACCCTGTGTCTGCC